>NT_187564.1:0-271455 GCF_000001405.40 Homo sapiens | reverse complement strand
ATATATGATTCCAATGGTTTTATATATAGATGTAATCATATTGATATGATCATATATACATGATAATTCTATTTATGTGAATCTCAAATTTATATTTCTAGCCCTGTGTTCTTGATTTGTATAACCAACCACCTGCTTGCCTGCAGGCATCTCAAACATAATATGTCCACAATGGAACTCTTGGTTTGCAACTCCTCACCGTCTCCTGCAACTTGTTCTTCCTCCATCTCCAATCATTCAAGCCTAAAATCTTTGAGAGATCTTACATCTAGGGTATAATATAATTTAGTTAATACTTCACTTAATATTGGACTTTTAAGATGATACATATTCTTGGCTCTTATAAAATATACTTTAAATATCTTTGTGCATAAAGCTTTGTTTGCATTTCTGATTATGTCTTTTGAGTATTGAGAAAAATCAGTCTATTCCTGATTTGCTGAGCTCAGAGCAAAAGTAAAAATGTGTCTAGATATTTAAGTTATAAATCAAGCAAACAAATTGATAATTTATATAAGATATATTCTAGCCATCTACCTTGACAAATATACCTTCAAAATGGCCTGAAATACAAGGTTTGAATTTAGAATTTGTAGGTTCCTTGGAGTTCTGTAATGGAACATGCTGGCGTGGGGAGAACGGACCCCAGGCACTGACCCGGGGCCTGACCGCCTCCTCTTCCCACCCCCAGCTTTGTCTCTCACTGGGAGGGGGCTTGTGCGCATGCGTGTTGGCACCTCAGCCTGCACACTGAAGCTTCTAGGGCTGACCACACTTTCCCTTCCCATAAACCTTCACGCCTTGCTACCCTTTGGGTGATATGCTCAGGTCCTGGAAGCTGGCTTAGGACTGCTTGGGCAGGGAATTCCAGAGTTCCAGGAAGCTGGAGTGTGATCTAGGGGGATTGGTGAGGCATGGGCATGTTCCCTGATCTCTTCCTACTCCTTGCCTGGTGGGGAGATGACACCCGCGGCAGGGTGGGAAGGGAGGGGCTCTCCAAAGCGCAAGGCTAGGGAAAGGCCCCACTTCTGCAGCTTGAAAGTCAGTATGGTGGCCAGGCGCGGTGGCTCACCCCTGTAATGCCAGCACTTTGGGAGGCCGAGGTGGGCGGATCACAAGGTCAGGAGATTGAGACCATCCTGGCTAAGACGGTGAAATCCCGTCTCTACTAAAAATACAAAAAATTAGCTAGGCGTGGTGGCGGGTGCCTGTAGTCCCAGCTACTTGGGAGGCTGAGGCTGGAGAATGACGTGCACCCGGGAGGCGGAGCTTGCATTGAGCGGAGATGGCGCCACTGCACTCCAGCCTGGGCGACAGACTGAGACTCTGTCTCAAAAAAAAAAAAAAAAAAAAAAAAAAAAAGTCAGTATGGGCAGGAAGTCCTGGCTCTAAGCATATGATCAATTTCCGAGTTGCTTTCCAGAAAGATTAGACCAGTTTACCTGCCCATTTATTGAAGGGCTCCAGGTATCAAGAGAGTTTCCAGTGGTCTACTAGACACGTGACCTTGGGCAAGTTAAGCATCCTCTTCAGGACTCAGTTTCCCCATCTGTAAAACAACTTCTTTCTAGCTCTAACCTTCTCTGGCTCTCTGAAACCAAGCCCTGTGCTTTAGCCGTTCATGGCCTGAGTTTCTTAAACCTCCTTTAGTGTGTGGATGGGGGTCCCCCAGTGCTCTTATCCAAACACATATAGGTGCACACCATGGCTTGTCAGAATAACTTTCTACCAGACCAGGAGCTGGCACCCGGAACTACGCAGGTTTTCTTCCAGCTTCGGCAATCCATAACAATTTAAGAAAAACAGAGGCAGTTTGCTTGCAACAAGGGCAACTTTGCGTCCTCCTTTTAATTTTTCCTCTCCTTTAGCCATCTGTAATGAATATACGGCTATAAAACAAGGCAGTCACACCCTCTCTGGTTCCAGGAGCACTAAATCCTTAGCGCCTCTGTGGTTATCTAGAAGATTTTATTGCATTTCACTGCAAAGAGCTGCCCCATGTTTATCCTTTGCTTCACCTACCATTTTTATAACATAAAGGAGAGATTTATGTTCAAATCCGGGAACATTTTTAGCTGACTTGGAGCTACATATGTAGTGCTTTGTAAAGAAAGACTTTTAGTTTCCTGAAGATGGCACTGTAATTTTACTTCTGTTCACACATTTCATCACATATGGAAATTTACATTCTGCCTAGTATGTGTGCACAGAGATTCATTAAAGTGAAAAATATCTGATAATAACTGTGCACCAACAGAAATGCATATCATGGAGATGTAAAATTTATTATAAAAAATGTAGAAAGGGAACTCATGATCAAAAGTGAAAGTTAATGGCTTTGGCTTATAAGATGTTGTTTTTTGACACCCTCTTCCTAAAGGACACAGAGATGGATTCTGTAGAGATAAACTAAAGTTAAAATTAATCAAGTGATCAGAAAATAACCTAAGGAAACCCATTTTGCTATGTTTTCAGTTCTCTTGTCTGCCACCTTAATATCATTTAGGCAAAGTCTGAATCAAATAAGTGATTTAATCAATGAGTATTTACGGTGTATTAATTCTCAGACATAGTGACTGAAATCTCAGTTGAACCTGAATGTCCTGATAATCTCTGCCCAGGAAGAGTGGGTGACTCTTCCCAAAAGGACCACATCCTACCTCTCCAAAGACTCATATGACAACCCAAAGATCTGCCAGCCTGCCTTCAGACTTTGGTGGAGTTGTGATACTTAGGCTGCAAATTCCAGGGACAGAACTGACCCCTGTTCCAGTGGAAAACAGAGTGGCTGGTGGCTTTGAGCAGCTGGGTGCTTTGGAGCCTGCCCTCAACTCTCTCACGCCAGGTGCGGTGGGAGCCTGCCAGAGCCCAGCCTCCATCCTCCACCAAAAAAGACCTCATGCCTGTGAAAGAAAGTGCCCTTTCCCAGTAATTTTCAAACTTATCTAGGTGACAGAACAACTTGCAAGTTTTGAGCTCCTTGGACAGGGGAGAAGAACATCATCATACCAATATATTAAAACTAATGTAATTAGAGGAGTTTGTGCTTAAATGAGATAATATCTTGTCCTACATTGCAAAATAGAGAATGCAATGGTTATTTTCTGTGTCAATTTGACTGGGCTAAGGAATGCCCAGAGAGCCAGTAAAATACTGCTTCTGGGTGTGTCTGTGAGGGTGTTTCTGGAAGAGATCAGTGTTTGAATTGGTAGGCTGAGTACAGAAGGTCAACTCTTACCAATGCAGGTGGGCACCATTCTATCCACCGAGGGCCTAACTAGAACAAAAAGCGGAGGGGGAGTGCACTTTCTCCCTGCTGAGCTGAGACGTTCATTTTCTCCTTCCCTTAGACATCCCCACTCCTGGTTGCTGGGCCTGCAAACTCCTTCAAAACTTAGACCATTGGCTCCCCCGGTTCTCAGGCCTGCGGGTTTGGACTGGAACTTCACCACTGGCTGTCCTGGGTGCAAATGGCAGATTAGGGGACTTCTCAGCTTCTGTAATCACGTGAACCAGTCCTTGTAATAAATCTCTTTCTATATATCTCTCTCTATACCATTGGTCCTGTTTCTCCAGAGAACCCAGACTAATACACACTCTTTTACAGCAGTGTTATTTCTGCTTCACTAATGAGGCAACGGAGGCTCCCAGGAGCGGTTCCGTGGCTGGCACTCAGTGCTTTACTGTGGCTGGTGTGATCCCAAGGGACAAAGCTGCTGTCAGCCGCTTGCACCAGGCACAGGGCACGGGACCTGGATAGTGGGTGCTGTCTACACATGACTCCCCACGTGCACGCTCACAGTGCCGTCCCCCCAGCAGGCTTCATCTCTCAATGTGAGCCCTGGTGGGCACTGGAGTCTTCTCATGTATTTTGGCATCCTCCAGCAGGCTAGCAAAATGCTTTTTAACTCAAGAAATATTCAAAAAACGATTCTTGAATTGGGTTGAAGGAACTCATTTTGCACTCTGTGAACAAGCAAGATATGACAGCTGGCCTCCTAGGTGACACTGCATGCCAGGACCTGTTCTAGATTTCCTCAGAACTTTGCCTGGTACACAATCCTGAGATAACATTATCAGAACGAAAGGGAGGGATGGAAGAAAGGCTGGCTATACTCCCAGGACCAGGACCAGGAGGAGGCAAGGGGGAGCCAGGGCCAACACCCAAGGAGGAGGCGCCGGCCCTCAGGCGCCGCCTCTGCACTAGTACGACCCTGAGCTCCAGCGCCTCCCTGGATTGGTGCCCTAGGCCCTGGTTTTGCCTGCCACCCCCTGGTCCTGGCCCTGGCTATATCCAGAGTGACACAGGGATGGAGAAGACCGTTGCAAAGCATGGCCTGAGTGTGTATTCCCTGAATGTTCCCTCACATCTCCTGAGTGTGTGTTCCCTTCCGACAGCTGAGGATCACTTCCGCAGGCCTCTCCCAGGCTCTGCGGTGAACCTCTCCCCGGCCTCCAGCTTCTGGGTGGTGCGCAGGGCAGGTGTGTAATCACCCCAAGGTGATGATTTGGCTCAAGTCTTCTTGAAGTATTCCAAATGCCCCTCCCTTACCCCATCAACAGCACCAAGCACTTTCCTAGAATGTTGCTCCAGAGCAATTGCCCTTGCTTCCACTTCTCTAAAGAACCATTACATGTGAAGCTGCTGGAAGGCAGCCACACCCTTCATGCAAGTGAATCTTGGAAAGGATGTCAAGAGGAATATGTGAATTGCAGGCTTCAAAAGTTAAGCAGGGTTGAGTGTGGTGGCTCACGCCTGTAATCCCAGTACTTTGGGAGGCCGAGGTGGGTGGATCACATGAGGTCAGGAGTTTGAGACCAGCCTGGCCAACATGGTGAAACTCTGTCTCTGCTAAAAATACAAACATTAGCTGGGCGTGGTGGTGGGCGCCTGTAATCTCAGCTACTTGGGAGGCTGAGGCAGGAGAATTGCTTAAGTCCAGGAGATGGAGGTTGCAGTGAGCCGAGATCCTGCCATTGCACGCCAGCCTGGGCAACAAGAGCAAAACTCCGTCTCAAAAAAAAAAAAGCAGCATTTGAAGTCATTGTTAGTGATTCTACAGCAGGCCCCAGTTTCTGCATGGTGGGGGTAACGGGGAGGAGAGAGGAGTGGGTGGGAGGGGCATAGGAAAATAGAGAAGGTGCCTCTGCTCCTGCCCTGGAGGCGTAGACTGAGAAGTTAGCACCGTATCTTAATAAAGATCTTTATTTATGAGTTCCCTAAATGTTACACCTTTTCTTAGCTGTTGTCATCAATACAGCCTTCAAACCCCACAGGTAAATTTCTGTGGTGCTTGTAACTACTTTTGCACGAAGGGAATTCTGTGTATCCAGCGCTTTGGGGTCTCCCTAATTCATGTTTAACAAGTTTAATGTAATTTCTCAAAGCAAATCTGAATCTCACATCTGAATTACTGAACATCTTGCTGACCGAGCATTTTCTACAAGCTTCGTTCCCCGCCAAACACCCGGGGAGACGGGCTGCCAGCCCACGGTGCCTGCCATGTTAAGTGAGACAAACAGGGCAGTTATTCAAATAATATTAAATATTAACGCTGACATTCTCCATGGCTGTATCTGTCATAGATCATGTGGGTTACATCTGTCATCTCGAATCCCTTCAGACTGCGAGAGCTCCAGAAATGTGATCTGTTGGCAAAGCCGTTTGATGCTCGATGGCAGCTTCCTTTGGATGTGTCCTGAAGCTGCGGAGGCCAGGGAGGATCCCGCTCGTCTCCAGATGGTTTGGGGCTTGTTACAGATTGGAGGAAGCCCTGGGGTGAGGGGGAAGGTTGAGTAATTACTAGTGTCTGGAATTACACGAACGCCCTGGGGACAGGCTGGAACAGGCAGCTTTGCCTCTCCTAGATGCCCCACTGCAGAGCCCCGCATCAACCCTTGGATCCAAGTCTGCCAGGCGAGTTTGGCTTTATACGGATAAAAGCAACATGCAAGTGGAATATTTTTGCTTTGCAGGTAGAACTGGGAATGGGGATTTTGTGCACGAAGTGTCCCAACTCTTGTGGCCAGGAAAACTTGGATTTGCTGCCTTAGCTGGAAGAGCCAAAGTTTACCTGTCAGGCTTCGTCGGGCTTTCATCAGGACAAGAATGTCTCCTTTGATCTGGCTGTGCCAGGGCTTCCTTGTTAGAAGACAGCATCATCTCAGCCGTGTGACAGCTGTTCCTTCTGCCCTGGCCAGGGGCTTCCCTATGCTACGGCTTCACTACAGCCCATCCAGAAGTTGTGGGGTGGCGGCAGGGGGGACCTCTGTGACCTTGTGTGTGTGTGTGTGTGTGTGTGTACTCTGTCTTCTTTACTATGTGCTCCATTTTCTTTTCTGCCAGAAATCAGAGTAGTGTAATATGAGATTTTTGGGATGCAGTTCTCCTTGGTAAGTTGAAGTTCATGCACCCTTATGAACTTCCCCCCAAGCCTGGGCACGAGACTAATGACCAGATGGTTGGCAGGATGCTGGAGGCCAAAGGTTTATTTGACCAGTTCCTAACAGAATGATTAAATTCAAAGTAGCTCTCATCCATTCAGTGCCTATGTGGTCCAGTGTTCTTCTTCTGTTTACTTATTGCTTTGTTTTAACTCTCACAACAACACTATTAAGACAAGGCAAGATCACCTCCATTTCTTAGGGGAGGAAACAGAGACTTGGAAAGTGTAAGTAACCCGCCTGAAGACGTATTATTGAGAAAATGATGACTCTGAAATTCAGACTCAGTTTCAACTGGCTGTCAGGATCGGGCCCTTTCTCCTGTATTGTGCTACTTTCACTTTTAGATCAAACTTCAAATTTTAAAAAAGGAGGAGAGTTTGCCTGGAAATAACCCAATCACTCTCTTAATAAACATTGGTTGAATTTGCAAAATGGTCAAATGCCTCAGCTGATTCCAAATACTCCATGCAAGCTTGGGCTTGGCTCTCAGCTGCTCAAGAGGGAATTCAGTGTTCTCCAGGCCCAGCTGGCCTGGGGCTCAGGCATGTGGTCCCAAATTGTCAAACTTTCATTTTCTGTCAGCATTGGAGGCCAGAATATCTCAGCATCAGCATGACTGATATTTTAGACTGGACACGTCTTTGCTGTGGGGGGCTGCCTGTGCATTGGTGGATGATGAGCTGCATCTCTGGCTTCTATCCACCAGATGACAGTAGGACCCTCTCTCAAAGTCATGACAATCAAGAATATGCCAGCTACTGCTAAATGTCCTCTGGGGGCAAAGTTGCCTGAGTTGGGAACCACTGGCTTGAAACTACTCTCCGCAGGTTTTATCCAAAAGCCCATCCTTGACTGGCTTCTTCCACGTCCCTGTTCTTTTCCCCCCACCTCTCTACTGACCTGGGAGCATGCCCTTAGCAGGTTACGTGCATGCAAAAGAGAGTATGAATGGTTCTAGGCAAGCTACTTAACTTCTCTGAGTACCGGTTTAATCATTTGTAAAAGGGAGGTCCCTTCAGTTCTAATACTTGGTCATATATAAAGACCACAGAGTGTCAGAGCCTGGGTATTCTTATTGTCTCCAGGATTTGCTGCCAGAGAAATAGCAGACAGAAACCCCTGTAAACAAATGTTTGTTGACTGAATGATGGAGTAGCAGCTGAGGAGACCTCAGAAGCTATAATTTTTTTTTTTTTTTCAAGACAGAGCCTTGCTTTGTCACCCAGGCTGGAGTGTAGTGGCACAATCTGGGCTCACTGCAACCTCTGCCTCCCAGGAACAAGCGATTCTTCTGCTTCAGCCTCCCAAGTAGCTGGGATTACAGGCATATGCCACCAGGCCTGGCTAATTTTTGTATTTTTAGTAGAGACGGGGTTTCACTATGGCCAGGCTGGTCTCAAACTCCTGACTTTGTGATCCACCCAACTCAGCCTCCCAGAGTGCTGGGATTACAGGCGTGAGCCACTGCGCCCGGCCAGAAGCTATAATTTAAGTGGAATGTGTTGAGAACTGGGTCTGAGGCTCTTCTGTGTAAACTGAGTAACTGCAGCTAACACAGAAGGATTGTGCAATTTTGAAGTAAAGGGGCAGGAACTACAGGAATACACCTGTCGTGGAACATGTTGGGTTTATTTGTTGCAAACAGAGAGAACCCCATGCAGAATTGTGGGGCACCTCAGTAAGAGAGTGCTAGGAAGGACTTAATATAGGATTCGGGCTGTATTTGGTGGTTCTGGGGCTGATCCAAGGAAGCAGAGCTTTGCTCTGGACCGAATGTTGTCAGGAAGCAAATTTTGTGATTAGATATTTTAACAGACAGTATCTGCAAGGGGTTGGAATGAATAGAGGCTCATGCTGTTACTGGTAAAGGAGCAGAGGTCACCCATATTAACCAGGATGGGGAGATGTTTGGTTTCTATGTGATTTGGACAAATGATTCTATTTTTTTCAGTGTTTAGACATGATTAAGGAGTGGTCTTGCTCCTGTCTTGTTCCACTTAGTCACAGAGTGATTGCGTGCTGGTGTTCTGTGGAATCGCCTGTTTAACAGGAAGACACCGCTCCCAGCTGTGTGCCAGGCCGGCTCCCAGTTGTCAAGGGTCTCTTCTGTTTCTCAAAATCTGTCACGTTGCTCTTCTCTTTGGGAAATTAAAATTGACCGGAAGGTGGTAGAGAAATTTGGGGGAACTAAAAACTGCAAAAAAAATGTTAATTTTGGGGGGTATATAAAGTGCACATATATTGTTTGTTGAACATGATTATAAATTGCTCTATTAAATTTTGTGGATTGTTGTTAAACATAGTTGAACAATAGGAAAGATTTTGGCCTTAGATTTGTGGTTGGTGTGTGCCTTCTGGGGCCTGGAAAGCTTCAAGAGTGATGTTTTCTTTCCTTTGCTTTTTGTGCATACACCCCGACAGATACACACATGCACACCCCCCACAGACACACACACACACACGCACATACATACACGCACACACACACGCGCACACACACACACAGATACACACACACACATGCACGCACGCACCAGAAAAAAAATGAAAGTCATTCCAATGGGCTTTGTCTTTAATGCTCTTTGTCTCCTGTAAGGGATTAGTTTTCCATTTGAATTCCTTTGTAATTTCCTGCTGTTGATGACACTGAGGCGGTATTAACAGGAGCAGGAGTGACAGCAGCACTTGTGGGACCGAATAGCGGGAGATGGGGTGAGAGATGTTCCAGCAGTTCCGGGACATGGGCTAACCCAGAAGAGCCAGGGAGTTTGGGTTGAGCATTCAAACTGGCTCTTTTGCTTCTGACCTGAGGATACACAAGACACCCAGCTCCATCATTAAAAGTTTTTGTAATTTTAAAATATTTATTTATTTTTTTTCCTGAGAGGGAATCTTGCTCTGTCGCCCAGGCTGGAGTGCAGTGGCAGGATCTCGGCTCACCGCAACCTCTGCTGCCCTGGTTCAAGCAATTCCCTTGCCTCAGCCTCCTGAGTAGCTGGGATTACAGGCGCACGCCACCATGTCTGGCTATTTTTTTTTGTATTTTTAGTAGAGATGGGGTTTCACCATGTTGGCCAGACTGGTCTCGAACTCCTGTCCTCAGGCAATCCACCCGACTCGGCCTCCCAAAGTGTTGGGATTACAGGCATGAGCCACCGTGCCTGGCCTAAAATAAATTTTAATTGTGCAAATAATCAAATGTCAAAAAGTCCAAACTGCGACCACAGACCCTGCAATGCTTTCTCCAAGATAAATCCTCCAGCGACTGGTTGAGGCAGGATTTCACCTGCCCAGTTCTGGTATGGCTCCACCTGGAATCTTCTAAAAAAACAGTAAAGTGTTTAAGGGACAGGGCTCTGCCTCATGATACTCTACCCTTGGTGAAATGTCCAGTTGTTCCTGTTCTTATAAAACTAAGAGCCTAATGACAGGAACCCGAAATATTGAAACTTGGGCTTTCTGAAGTCCGTGGAGATAAAAATTGACTTCCTGCCAGGGTGCGGTGGTTCATGTCTGTAATCCCAGCACTTTGGGAGGCTGAGGCGGGTGGATTGTCTGAGGTCAGGAGTTTGAGACCAGCCTGGCCACCGTGGCGAAACCCCATCTCTACTAAAAATACAAAAATTAGCTGGGCATGGTGGTGCATGCCTGTAATCCTAGCTACTCAGTGCTGAGGCAGGAGAATCACTTGAACCCAGGAGGAGGAGGTTGCAGTGAGCCGAGATCACCCCACTGTACTCCAGCCTGGGTGACAAAGTAAGACTTACTTTGTCTCAAAAAAAAAAAAAAAAGGCTCCCTTTTTTCCCACGATGAGGAAGGTGTTCAGATCAAGTTGTGTGGCTCTGAGATCTAAATAATGATTTGTCTCCCTGTGCTGATGTGAGATTTCCATGACAGGTTGTATCTGTTTGCTCGGGATGCCATAACAAAGGACCACAGACTGGGGGGTTTAAACAGCAGAAGTTTACTTTCTCACAGTACTGGAGGCTGGAAGTCTGAGGTCAAGGTGCTGGCGGTGTCGGTTTCTCCTGAGCCCTCTCTCTTTTGCCGGTAAGTGGCCGCCTTCTCCCCATTATCCTCACCCGGTCTTCCCTCTGTGTGTGTCTGCGTCCTAACCTTCCCTTCTCATAAAGACACCAGTTATGTTGGATGGGGACCCATCCTGATGACCTCATTTTACCTAAATTCCCTCCCCATCTCTAAATATAGTCACAGCTGAGGTACTGGGGGTTAGGGCTTCAACATATGAATTTTGGGGTGGGAGGTCACACTTCAGCCTGTAACACTGGTCTTTCTTGCAATGATCCTCCCCAAGGATTCCATTTAAATACATGGGATCTGCTGGTCAGAACAACTGGGCTCAAATTCTGATGCCACCACTCGCTGGAAGTGGGACCGTGGGAAATTGTGCTTGTTTCTTTGTAAATAGGAGCATTAGAGAGACTGAGCTAATATGGGGGCTGAGAGGGTCAGCTGAAGCCACGCCTTCAAGGCAGCAGCGTGGTGCATGGAACGTAGGAAGCAGTGCAATGAAAGTTGATTTGAGGGGCTTCACTTATATAAGAATCATTTTCATAATTCAGAAACCCTAGTTGGGAACAATTCCCTGTTTTTGTCCATCTGAGCTTCATTGTTTGCTGCCCACATGTTGTTACTGATTCTCTTTTTTTTTTTTTTTTTGAGACGGAGTCTCGCTCTGTCGCCCAGGCTGGAGTGCAGTGGCGTGATCTCGGCTCACTGCAAGCTCCGCCTCCCGGGTTCACGCCATTCTCCTGCCTCAGCCTCCCAAGTAGCTGGGACTACAGGCGCCCGCCACTACGCCCGGCTAATTTTTTGTATTTTTAGTAGAGACGGGGTTTCACCGTTTTAGCCGGGATGGTCTCGATCTCCTGACCTCGTGATCCGCCCGCCTCGGCCTCCCAAAGTGCTGGGATTACAGGCGTGAGCCACCGCGCCCGGCCGATTCTCTTTCCTCATAATTGCCTGGCTAAACCCTACAAATCCTTCAAGGATCCATTCACAAACTGCTTTTCCCATGAACCCTTCCTGATTACCCCACCTAAAGAAAATCTCCTTTCCTTTGAACTCCTACACCTCTCTTATGGGACTCCAGGAGTTTATTTATTTTTTATTTTTAAAAATAATTTATGGCCGGGCGCGGTGGCTCATGCCTGTAATCCCAGCACTTTGGGAGGCTGAGGCGGGCAGATCACGAGGTCAGGAGATCGAGACCATCCTGGCTAACATGGTGAAACCCTGTCTCTACTAAAAATACAAAAAATAGCTGGGCGTGGTGGTGAGTGCCTGTAGTCCCAGCTACTCGGGAGGCTGAGGCAGGAGAATGGCATGAACCCGGGAGGTGGAGCTTGCAGTGAGCCAAGATCGCGCCACTGCATTCCAGCCTGGGCGACAGAACGAGACTCCATCTGAAAAAATAAAATAAAAGTAAAAATAAAAATAATTTCTTATCTTTGAGACAGAGTCTCAGTCCATCACCCAGGCTGGAGTGCAGTGGCACGATTTTGGCCTCCCAGGTTCAAGTGATTCTCATGCCTCAGCTTCCTGAGTAGCTGGAATTACAGACATGCATCACTATACCTGGCTAATTTTAACATTTTTATTTATTTATTTATTTTTGAGATGGAGTCTTGCTCTGTTGCCCAGGCTGGAGTGCAGTGGCGCGATCTCGGCTCACTGCAAGCTCCACCTCCCGGGTTCACGCCATTCTCCTGCCTCAGCCTCCTGAGTAGCTAGGACTACAGACACCTGCCACCACGCCCGGCTAATTTTTTGTCTTTTTAGTAGAGATGGGGTTTCACCGTGTTAGCCAGGATGGTCTCGATCTCCTGACCTCATGATCCACCCACCTCAGCCTCCCAAAGTGCTGGGATTACAGGCGTGAGCACCATGCACGGCCTAATTTTTTATATTTTCAGTAGAGATGGAGTTTGCCATGTTGGCCAGGCTGTTCTTGAACTCCTGACCTCAAGTGATCTGCCTGCCTCGGCCTCCCAAAGTGCTGGGATTACAGGCGTGAGCCACCGTGCCTGGTCTAGGAGTTTATTTTTAATACAAATAATGACTAATATTTGTAGTCACTTGTAGTCACTTGGAAAGTCTCTTTACGTGTAGTGATGGATTTAATTCTTCCCATTTGTCAGAAAAGAAAACAGAGGCTCAAGAGGTTGAGTAATTATCTCAGGCCACATATCTCGTAATAAGTAGCCAGAACACATAATTCCTTGACAACCACATTCATCTCTGATTCCTAAGCTCCTCTTACAGCAACAGGCACCCAACATCTGGGTGAATAAACTCTCCACTAACAGACAGCCATGGGTTCCTGGGCCCGCCTCTCTCCGAGTCCTCTCCTTTATCAGAGCTGAATGCATCTGATCACTCTGCACAGTGGTGTCAAATTGGCTATTCTCCCTCTTTTTATTGGAGTCCTCTTTCATTCAGTCCCAATTGTGGGAAATGAAGTTTTACAGCCATGGAAGGGAAGATGAAGGGAAGAAGCGGAGAAGACAGATTTCTATAGATCACAAGGCATTTTGGATGCCATAAATATGGTGGATACCCTGTAGTTCTGCAGTGTCTTTCTTTAGGGAATCTCAAGTGCCTACTCTCTAATTTAGTCCGCTGTGTGGCTGTGGTCTTTAAGTTGGAGTCTGTGGAGACAAAGAGGGAGGTCTTGCTGTGCCTGACCCTCTGGGATGTGTTACCACCCACGCCGACCTGCTCTCTGCGGCTTTCTGACAGCACCTCACAGCCCTGGAACTGGAAATGTGGCTCTCACTGAAGCTGCCCAGAGAGAGGGTCTCTCAGTGAAGACCCCCTGTTGTCAGCTGGGGCAGCCGGAAAGAAAGACTGGGAATTCTCTTCACACAGGATTTGATATGCTTGGTGGCTCCAGAAAAATGCAAGTGTGCACATTCATCCACTTGACAAAGGGTGACTTAACTGTCAGTGTCCTGTGGATTCAAACTGAAAGGGTTTGGGCGAAAGAAAGAAGAAGGTGGGACTGCGAATAAATTGAAAACAGCATTTTGGAGGCAACAGCTGTGAAACAGAAGGGAAGGAAAATTTATGACCATATACATTTCAGTAGGAATTTATAACTTTTTATGAACATTATCTTAAAGTTAGTCTCTAGACATAGGTCTAAAAATAAAATTATGCTGAACTGTGTACCCAGAGAATGGTAAATGGGAATAACGTTCTTGAAAGGGATGACGTAGGTCCAGGGAAAGGTCACATTGAATAATCAAGGTCGGTGAAGGTCAAAATCACAAAGAAGGACCCTGCATTCACTCCTGTCCTGATGGCAGCTTCAGTGGAAACCCTTGGCCATCGCTTTGCCTCTCCAAGCATTCGAGAAAGACCGTCTGGTGCCATATTGTCTTCTGGGGACAGCTGATCACCTGGGGAGAGCTGCATCGTGCTCCTACCCGTGTCAGATCTGGGCAGAGGACAGACAAAAGTCCTCTGGAGTTTTCCGCAGTGAGAGTCACAGAAGTTCATCTAAGGAATTGGAGCCAAGGTTAGAAACTTCTCTGGAGATGTTCTAGTTTTGTTTGCTAGCTCGGCAGCTGCGTAATGACACTCCCTCCAGCAGGGCACATAGTTCACTTCAAATGACAAATGGTGGGACCTTAGTATTTTTCACTGTCGGTTAATTATCAGAAATAGATTTGTTGCTATCTAGATACCAGCCATTTGTCCAAATTACTAGGATAAGATTCCCAAGAAAGCCTGAAATCAGATAGCTTTCTCCTCCTTATTTTAAAATAAACAGAAATAAAATTATTCTGCTACAGGTGGGTTTCTCTTCTCCCAGCATATGTGACTTGACAAATTGTGTGAAAATGGTTTTCAGAAATTCAATTTCTGTTGCAAGTGCACCAAATGTTTAAAGAAACTGCAGCGTCAGACGCTGTATGGGGTAGGGTTGCTGAAATTCAGTGCTCTGGCCGGGGTGAATGGGACCTGGTGGGTGTGAGTGTAGTAGGGTTGGGGGTAGCTGGCTGCCCAAAGGGATGTGATGAACTTGAGCTTGACTGAGTCTAGTTTCAGTTCCAAGGGATTCAACCTGGTGTTTGGAAAACGCTCATTTCCTAGATCCTGAGCGTCCTGTCCTTTTGGAGCAGGACTGCAGCTGGCTGCTTAGGGATGGAAGGAGGCTCCCTGCAGGGGAAAGTGTGGCGATACGCAGGTAGGACTCAACATCGCAGCCAGGCAGACTGAAAGGCAGAACCAGCCTCAGATGCCACGATTAAGTCCACGGGGCCAGAGTAGGGTGGTGCAGACTGCTTCACACTCACACTCTGGAGACAGACCCCGGGGAAAAGAGTACTGGACTTTAGGATAATGGGCCCCTGTAATTTGAGCTGGCTTCACCTTTCTTATTAATCCAGTATATCTCACAATTAAGCATCTCCTAATTTGTTTGTTTGTTTGTTTCTTTTTTTTTTTTTTTTTTTTTAAGATGGAGTTTTGCTCCGTTGCCCAGGCTGGGATGCAGTGGTGCAATCTCGGCTCACTGCAACCTCTCGCTCCCAGGTTCAAGTGATTCTCCTGCCTTAGCCTCCCGAATAGCTGGGATTACAGGTGTGTGCCACCATGCCTAGATAATTTTTTTTTTTGATGTTTTCTTCGTAGAGGTGGGGTTTCCCCACATTGGCCAGGCTGGCCTCGAACTCCTGTCCTCAGGTGATCCACCTGCCTCGGCCTCCTAAAGTGCTGAGATTATAGGCGTGAGCCACCACGACCGGCCCAATTTGTTTCTTTTGTGAGTCATTTTACAAGGCTTTGTTAACGGGCACCCCGATTGCCTACGGGACACATTCTCTGAGATGACTAATAACACCTCACATTTCAGAAAGCCAACAGAACTTGAGTTTCCCACTGCAATCAGTGATACCATACTCAAAACGCAGTATGAATCTTAGATTCTTCTCCTTGTTTCACACCTTCTATTCGATCCATTAGCAGGTCCTGCTGCCTTTACCTACAAGATATATCCTAAATCTGGCTGCTTCAGCCACTTCTGCTACAGCTTCATTTCAAGCCACTGCCATCTCTCCCTGCAACTGCTGGACTAGCCCTCTAACTAGTGTCATTTCATCTACTTCTGTTTTACTTAAAACCGAAATATGTTTTTGTCACTCCCTTGTTCAAAATCCTCCTATGGCTTTCTACAAACATTTGCACAAAATCCAAAATCTTCACCAGGAGGTCCAATGTGACCAGGCTCCTGGCTATCCCGTGGCTTCATATCCTCACTCACTCACCTGTCCCTCCAGTTTCCCTAAGTAAGCTGGCTGCTGCCCCAGGGCCTTTGCACCTATGGTTCCCTCTGCCTAGACCACTTGCCTGGCTATCTCACGTCACTCAGGTCCCTGCTCAAATGCCTCCTTCTTCCTCAAAGAAGGGCCACCCAATCTAAACCAGCACCTTCCTCCTTTTTCTCGTTCTGTTTTTTCTTTTTTTTTTCTTTGCAAGACAGGGTCTGGCTCTGTCACCCAGGCTGGAGTGCAGTGGCATGATCTTGGCTCACTGCCACCTCCACCTCCCAGGCCCACGTGATCCACCCACTTCAGCCTCCCAAGTAGCTGGGACTTCAGGTGCTCACCACCATGCCTGGCTAATTTTTGTACTGCCCAGCTGTTTTTTGTAGTGATGGGATTCTGCCATGTTACCCAGCCTGGTCTTGAACTCCTGAGCTCAAGCGATCTGCCCACCTTGGCCCTCCAAAGTGCTGGGATTACAGGCGTGCACCACTGTGCCTGGCTTTTCTTTTTCTCTTTACACTGCTTTCTTTTTTATGACACACATTACTTCTGGCGTTACATTATACATTTAGGTATTTGTTATTTGTTTGCTCCCCTTAGATGATAAGTTCCACAAGGTCAAAAAATGGTTTGTCTTTTTCACTGCTGTATGTCCAAAGCCTAAAGGAGAGCCTGACATGCCGCACAGGCTCAATATATATTCACTGAATGTACTGACCCCTTTAAAGTTCAGTTAGCATCTGTACCATACATACCCAGTGCGGCCTCCTCAGGTTGTCAAGGTAAGTATTGCTTTCTCCCCGACAGGTAGGGTACTTACTGTCTCACTAATTCTATCAATATTGGCACAAATTGATGATTTAAAACATAATAACAAAATGGGATGCCATTGATGGTGATGAGACCCAATCACAATTTTCCCTGTAAATCCTCCCAGGAACAGGAATGGCTAAGTGGTTACTTGGAGTGGGAGCTCTAGGTGGGTACAGGAAGGTCAGGTTCAACTTTGCAAAGGTATTATAATTAACCTTGAGCCAGGTCTGTGGAAGACATGAACGTGTCCTCTTCCTACAACCCTCCCCTGCCCATCTTTAGCCATTCCAATGCCCACTCACTCAACCTTGCCCTCTCACCTAATCTAGAGTGGGAAGGGCATATTCTGTCAGTTTTTTATCCAAATGTGCCTTCTGAGGTTTGCTTCATTCCTCATCTTTCTTGCCTTCCAGTTGCCTGGCCTCTCTTGCTGTGGGGGACTTCCTTTCCCTTGGTGTAACTTCAGGATTCTCTTCACCTCATCATGGTCTTGGTGGGCATGGGTTCTTTGGGAAGGAGTAACTTGTAAAATCTATACCTTAGAAATCTCAAATCCCCACTCTTCTCATGGGAGAATTTGGAATTTCAGATCTAAATTCATTTCAGGAATTTTTTTTTTTTTTTTTGAGACAGAGTCTTGCTCTGTCGCCCAGGCTGGAGTGTAGTGGCGTGATCTCTGCTCACTGCAACCTCTGCCTCATGGGTTCACGCCATTCTCCTGCTTCAGCCTCCCGAGTAGCTGGGACTACAGGTGCCCGCCACCACACCCGGCTAATTTTTTGTATTTTTAGTAGAGATGGGGTTTCACCGTGTTAGCCAGCACGGTCTCAATCTCCTGACCTCGTGATCCGCCTGCCTCGGCCTTGCAAAGTGCTGGGATTACAGGCGTGAGCCACCGCGCCAGGCCCATTTCAGGAATTTTGTGGTTGCCCCTCCCCAATACACTACATCTTGCATTTTCCAAAAAGTTAGTAGAAACAGAATAGTGACCTAAGAACAATTCCTCTAATAATTGTGAGGATTAGGGCTTAGCTGCTAAGACCGAATGGTGGAGGGAGATGACCTTGGTTTCTGGAGGGGAAATGGAGGAGAAATGAAAGTGAACCGTTGCAAAGCACTGAGCTGAGAGGCTTTGAACACAAAGCAGAGTTTATTGATCCAGTGAAATAATAGGAAAATATTTCATCTTCTGGACCTCTGCCTCAATAGCCTGCTAACATTTTATAAACCCAAATCAAGTACTGTAGTTCAAATGCCAGAATTTGCTGCTCTTGAAACCAAGTACATTATATTTTGATATTTTACATTAAGAAATCATGTTTTACTGGTACTATTCTCATTTTGTATCTTTTAAAACATGTAGTTATTATTTTTTCTTATTATTGTTGGACTTAAAAAACAGATTTGAAAATTTGTATGTAAAAGTTGATCAGTAAGATCTGTTCCAGAGTTAACAGCATCATACCAATATCAATTTCCTGCTTTCTACAATGTACTAACTAGCGTTACATAAGCAATCTTTGGGTGAAGGGTGTGTGAGACCTCCTGGCACTATTTTTGCAACTTCTTGTGAGTCTTATACTAATTCAAAATAAAAATGCACTTTTTTTTTTTTTTTGAGACAGAGTCTCGCTCTGTCGCCCAGGCTGGAGTGCAGTGGCGCCATCTCGGCTCACTGCAAGCTCTGCTCCCCGGGTTCACGCCATTCTCCTGCCTCAGCCTCCGGAGTAGCTGGGACTACAGGCGACTGCCACCACACCCGGCTAATTTTTTGTATTTTTAGTAAAGACAAGGTTTCACCGTGTTAGCCAGGATGGTCTTGATCTCCTGACCTCATGATCCATCTGCATCAGCCTCCCAAAGTGCTGAGATTACACGTGTGGGCCACCGCACCCGGCCAAAAATGCACTTCTAAAATGTGAGTTTACATATTCATACAGGCTTTGAAGCAGGAGAGGGCTATGGGTTAAATTGTGTGCCCCGCCCCCTCCCAATTCATATGTTGAAGTCCTAACTCCCAGTACCTCCAACATGACCTTATTTGGAAATAGAGTTGTTACAGATGTAATTGATGAAGATGAAGTCATGAGAGTGGGACCTCGTCTGACATAACTGATGTCCTTATTAAAGGGGGAAGTGCCAGGCATGGTGGCTCACACCTGTAATCCCAGCACTTTGGGAGGATGAAATGGGCGAATCATCAGACGTTAGGGGTTCAAGACCAGCCTGGCCAACATGGTGAAACCCTGTCTTTACTAAAAATACAAAAAGTAGCCAGGTGTGGTTGTGGTGGCTCACAACTCTAGTCCCAGCTACTCGGGAGGCCAAGGTAGGAGAATCACTCGAACCCAGGAGGTGAGGGTTGCAGTGAGCTGTGAGCTGAGTTTGTGCCACAGCACACCAGCAGGGGCAACAGAGGGAGACTCTGTCTTAAAAAAAAAAAAAAAAAGGTGGGGGGCAGTATAAACACAGTCACATGTACAGGGAAAATGCCATGTAAGGATGAAGACGGAGATTGAGGTGATGCTTCTTTAAGCCAAGGAACACCAAAGACGGCCAGCACACCATCGGAAGAGGAGAGAGGCCCGGACAGATTCTTCCTCACGGCTCTCAGAAGGAACCAGTCCTGCCAACACCTTGATCTTGGACTTCCCAGATTCCAGAACTGTGAGACAATAAGTTCATCTTTGTTCTGGCGCACCCAGGAAGCAGACACAGATGGTGTTCTCTGTGTTTTTCTCCCCTCTTCCACGGTGGCCTCTAAACCTCTGTGGACGGCCAGGCGCGGTGGCTCATGCCTGTGATCCCAGCACTTTGGGAGGCCGAGGCGGACGGATCGGCCTTGTGGTCTGGAATTCGAGACCAGCCTGGCCAATATGGCGAAACCCTGTCTCTACTAAAAATACAAAAATTAACCACACGTGGTGGCACGTGCCTGTAATCCCAGCTACTCGGGAGGCTGAGGCAGGAGAATCGCTTGAATCTGGGAAACAGAGGTTGCAGTGAGCTGAGATTGCACCACTGCACTCCAGCCTGGATGACAGAGTGAGACTCTGTCTCAAAAAAAAATAAAAAATAAATAAATAAACCTCCATGGACCGCTGAGCACTCTGCAGACACCACTGCACAAATCTGTTTGATGATTATGTAGGAGTACATACGATTGAGTGCCGGGTTTCCCCAGCCTCAGATGAGACAATAGCACTCCTCACCCTTTGGTTGCAGTATGTGGTGGACAGGAGTTTGACATCTTGTGAATTGATGAGTGTGAAGTTTGAGGCCGAGGCTTATGTATTGATTGTGACCTGTGCCAGAGAGGTCTTCATGGGCTCTCTTTCGATCTAATTTCATATATAGATTTTTTTTTTTCATGTTGCTCTGCTTCCGTGTTATTCACCTATTGCCATCAGTTTTATTTTTATTTTGTTTTCTTTCTGGAGATGGTGTCTCACTCTGTTGCCCAGGCTGGAGTGCAGTGGCGTGATCTCAGCTCACTGCAAACTCTACCTCCTGGGTTCAAGTGATTCTCCTGCCTTAGCCTCCTGAGTAGCTAGGACTACAGGTGCTCACCACCACAACCAGCTAATTTTTGTATTTTTGGTAGAGATGGGGTTTTATCATGCATTCCAGCCTGAGCAACGTAGCAAGACCCTGTCTCTTTAAAAAATAAGTAATAAATAAACATGTAAAAAGTAAAAAAAAATTGGATCTCACATAAAGCACATAAGCTTTGTAGCCAGCATCAGGAAGCCTTAAGAACTGAGATAACTGCTGCTACCAAATGTCAGTTGATGCCGATATCAAGCTTTGAGTGATGGGTCTATAAATCTGTAAATCGATGCGCAGTCACAAATGTGTAATTATTTCTATTTATATTTAGTGTACATTTCATAGAGCTTTATTTTGGCATTGTGGAGCTGGAAGCAATATTAGAGGTATTTGGCAGAGCGGGATTTGGAGTGCTAAGTGACCACACAGTGTCACAGGGCAGCATGCTAGGCAACCCAGGAGCCTGAGCTGCCCACTGGGATATTCTTGACGAGAGGCCGTTTCTCACAACACTTGACTGACATTAACCAAATGTATATCTATATATCTATATCTCTCCCATATCTTTTCCTGGATTTATCAGAAAAGCATGAAAAGTACTTTTTATGATATCCCAATTTATTTAGCCTTAAGAAACTAATAGAGACTTACAGGAAAAATTCCAAAAAGTCTATCCTTTTGATGGACTTCCTTTTTGGCCCAGTTATTTTGCATTTAGGTCATGACTTCGGAGAAAAGTTACCCAAACCCTGCCTGGGGAGGGATGTGCTCCGTTTTCAGATGTAAACCGTACTTGTATTCCTCGGGGTTCTCTAGAGGAACAGAATCCATAGGATGTATACATAGAGACAGAAATGTATTCTCAGGAATTGGCTCACACAGTTAGAGAGCCCGCAAGTCCCTGGATCTGCAGGGGGAGTTGGCAGCTGGACACCTAGGAAGAACTGGAACCAGGAAGTCTTTTGAGATTCCTCCATAATTAAGAACATTTCTAAAATTAACATTCAGAGGTCATAGAAAATCCTATTATAATAATTTTCAAAGAAGTTATTGTGTGCTGCCCTGCTGCTATCTAATATTTACGCTGAGCACTTACTATGTGCCAGGCACTGTGCTGAGAAGGACACATCCACCGTTTTAAAAATCCTTTCCAGAATAACACAATAAGGATGTTACTAGAATTATGCTGATATTACAGGTGAGGAAGTTGAGGATTAATGAGATTAAGTCAAATGGTTGAGAGTGTTGAGCCAGTCCACTGGCTCTGGGTTCCAATTCCTACCTCTTAAGCTCCACTGCCTCTCTGATTACTGTTTCCTTTCTGTCTTTCCTCATTGCACTTCTGTTTGAACCCTTAAATTAGCACCTACTATAGGCTACTGAGTAATAGAGTCACTTAGGGTGTGTCCTGTCTGCCTGTCAGGATGAGCTTCTAGAGAGAAGAGGCTCTATCACTCATTAGCTCCAGCGCCATGCACTGTGCTTGCCACATAGCAGGCGCTCAATAAACATTTGCAGAATTGAACTGAAGCATCTTAGTATGAGTACCATGGAATTGGGGTTCAGAGAAAGAGGGCTCCCAAGACTCTAATTTATTTAATCAAGGTTTTTGTTCTAAACCACAACGCAACCTGTTGGCTTGTTTCCCGGAAATTGACTTAATCACCCCCCTGCTGTAAGGTGTCTTCAGCGCTGCCTCCAGAGGATTTTGGGAAGAAAAATTAGAACCAGAGATCCTTGTTGTTGCCTCAGTGCTGGTTGTGGGGCTGTGATTGCTGTTAATGGGTCCTTCTTCCGGCTTTTTTTTTTCTCCTTTTTTTTTGAGATGGAGTCTCACTCTATTGCCCAGACTGGGGTGCAGTGGCATAATCTCAGCTCATTGCAACCTCCTCATCCTGGGTTCAAGCGATTCTCCTGCCTCAGCCTCCTGAGTAGCTGGGACTGTAAGAGCACGCCACCACACCCAGCTAATTTTTTATTTTTAGTAGAGACGGGGTTACACCATGTTGGCCAGGCTAGTCTCGAACTCCTGACCTCAGGTGATCCACCTGCCTTGGCTTCCCAAAGTGCTGGGATTAAAAGTGTGAGCCACCGCGCTGGGCCCCTTCTTCTGGCTTTTAAGAATAGACTTGGGCCGGGTGCAGTGGCTCATGCCTGTAATTCAAGCACTTCGGGAGGCCGAGGTGGGCGGATCACGAGGTCAGGAGTTCGAGACCAGCTTGGCCAATATAGTGAAACCCCGTTTTTACTAAAAATACAAAAATTAGCCGGGTGTGGTGGCGCATGCCTGTAGCCCCAGCTACTCGGGAGGCTGAGGTAGGAGAATTGCTTGAACCCGAGAGGTGGAGGTTGTAATGGGGCGAGGTCGCGCCATTGCACTCCAGCCTGGTGACAGAGCGAGACTCTGTCTTAAAAAAAAAAAAAAAAAAAAAAAAGAATAGACTTGAGTAGGAGTGCAAGCAAATACAATTAAAAGCACATTTTTCATGTTTATGTCTTTCCTGTAACCCAGAGGAGAGTCACGCAAAGGCCTCCCTGCTTCTGACAAGCATGGATGATAGAGTCAACTTGGCTGTGCGTGTGTTTTCATGAGAAGATGAGGGAATTGCATCACACGGCAATGCGCACACCCACACAAAGAGCCATGAGTGACAGACAACACCATGGGGAAGGGATTACGAGAGGGACGGACTGAGAGTCTGTGAAAGGTGACAGCATTTACCTCTGTATCCTCAGCGCTTAGGCCATGGATAAAGAAAGTTACACAGAAAGAACAAAAGGAGGGAGTAGGATGGAAGACAGGAGTGAACTGTGAAATACGTGTTATTTAAGATGAAGACATGGAAGTTATTAAAAAATGGCCCAACAGATTCACTGGGATGCCTGGTTTTATGAATAAATTTATCTCAAGACTTTCTGGACAGTTACTGTCCACAGGATGCCAGTTCTTCTCTTTTTTGATCCAGGTTAGTGTAAAGAGGATGGAGGCATTTAATATGATGTATTGAGAATTGAAACTCAGGGACCAATATGCATGCTGGAGCTACTTCTGCAGCTATTTTCCAGATTATTATTATTATTATTATTATTATGTGAGACAGAGTCTTGCTCTGTCACCCGGGCTAGAGTGTGGTGGTGTGATCTCGGCTCACTGCAACCTCCGCCTCCTGGGTTCAGGCAATTCTTGTGCCTCAGCCTCCCGAGTAGCTGGGACTACAGGCGTGAGCCACCATGCCCAGCTAATTTTTGTATTTTTAGTAGAGATGGGGTTCCACCATGTTGACCAGGCTGGTCTCCAACTTCTGGCCTCAAGTGATCTACCTGTCTTGGCCTCTAGTGCTGGGATTAAGGCAGTAGCCACTGTGCCTGGCCTCCAGATTAAATTTTGATTCCAGTTGTGGGCATCTGTTACTCTCCCTTCAGAGTCTGCTGCCAGGAAGCAGCAACACAGGTGAAGTCCTAGTGTGCACGTTCTTTTGTCCTTGCCCGACTCACCTGCACTCAGGCAAAGCCGAGCTGTTGTCTGATCACCACTTAGATATGGGCCAATGATCAGAATATTAGCTGATGAGAGATTGACAGTAAGAGCACTTTCAGTTTATTAGGAGAAGCTGGAAAATGAAAACCCACTGAGACTCAAAAGAAGTAGAATTTCTGGTTTATTGGCAAATGTGTGAAATTCTCAGGTGGGAAAGCTTCCCTAGGGACCCTCAAATCAGACCACTAAGGCTTGGAGAGTTCTAGGAAAGATCGGTTCCTAATGACTATGACAACCACAAAACAGAATTGGTCTTAATCTTTGTCAGCAGGTAGACTGATAAGGAAACAGACACATCGTGGTACAGCTTGTAACTGAGCTCCCAAGGATATGAACAAGCAGACTGTGGCCTTAAAAGATTTGTAGGACTTTATTCTACACCTTTAGGGTAAAGAAGGTATCTTTATTCTAAAGGTGAAAAAGTGGAACAAGGACATTCAAACCAGAAGGGCCCACTGGATGGCAAAATGGGTGGGTAGGCATATGTATGTATGTGCATATGTATATGTATGTACGTGTGTGTATTTATGTATGTGTGTATGTGCGTGCATTCATGAGTATGTATGTGTATGTGTGTGTATGTGTGTGCATGTTTGTGCATGTATATGTGTGTGCATGTGGTATATGTCAGTGTTTATGTGTATATATGTGTATGTGTGTATATTTTTACACCTGTATAAGTGTGTATATGTGTGTATGTGTGTGCATCTGTGCATGTGTGCACGTGTGTGTTTGTGTATGTGAGTGTGTATGTGTATGTTTGTATGTGTGCATGTGTGTACATGTGTATGCGTGTATGAGTGTGCATATATGTGTGCTTGTGTGTATGTTGTGTGTGCATGTGTATGCGTGTATGAGTGCATATGTGTGCTTGTGTGTATGTGTTGTGTGTGCATGTGTATGCGTGTATGAGTGTGCATATATGTGTGCTTGTGTGTATGTGTTGTGTGTGCATGTGTGTGTATGTGTGTTAGTATTGGGGAAACCCATCCCCAATATTTCAATGTAGGTTCTTTCTATTTTCCGTAAGTGTCGGCCGGCTGAGAAATAAAGTGAGATAGTACAAAGAGAGGAATTTTACAGCTGGGCCGCCAGGGGTGACATCACATATCGGTAGGACCGTGATGCCCGCCCGAGTCTCAGACCAGCAAGTTTTTATTAAGGGTTTCAAAAGGGGGGTGTGTGTAAGAACAGAGAGTAGGTACAAAGATCACATGCTTCAAAGGGCGAAAAGCAGAACCACTGATAAGGGTCTCACAAATATCACAGGGCAAAGGGCAAAGAAGAACCACTGATAAGGGTCTATGTTCAGCGGTGCACGTATTGTCTTGATAAACATCTTAACAGAAAACAGGGTTCGAGAGCAGAGAACTGGTCTGACCACAGATTTACCAGGGCTGAGTTTTCCCAACCCTAGTAAGCCTGAGGGTTCTGCAGGAGACCAGGCCTTATTTCAGTCCTTATCTCAACTGCACAAGACAGACATTCCCAGAGCGGCCGTTCATAGACCTTCCCCCAGGGATGCATTCCTTTCCTAAGGTATTAATATTAATATTCCTTGCTAGGAAAATAATTTAGCGATATGTTTCCTACTTGCACGTCCGTTTATAGGCTGTCTGCAAGAAGAAAAATATGGCTCTTTTTGCCCGACCCTGCAGGCAGTCAGACCTTATGGTTGTCTTCCTTTGTTCCATAAAAATTGCTATTATTCTGTTCTTTTTCAAGGTGCACTGATTTCATATTGTTCAAACACACATGTTTTACAATCAATTTATACAGTTAACACAATTATCACAGTGGTCCTGAGGTGATGTACATCCTCAGCTTACAAAGATAACAGGATTAAGAGATTAAAGACAGGCATAAGAAATTATAAAAGCATTATTTGAGAACTGATAAATGTCCATATTAAAATGAAATCTTCACAATTTATGTTCCTCTGCTGCAGCTCCAGCTGATCCCTCCATTTGGGGTCCCTGACTTCTCGAAACATGTTAGTGTATGTGTACATGTATGTGTATATGTGTGTACAGTGTGTATTGTGTGTGCATGCATGTGTAAATGTGTATGTGTTTGTGTGCATGTGTGTGTTGTGTGTGCATGTGTGTATGCATGTGTGTATATGTGCTTGTGTGTATATGTTGTGTATGTGTGTATGTATGTTTGTATATGTGTGCATGTGTATGTATATATGTGTGAGTGTATGTATATGTGTGAATGTGTATATGTGTATGTGAGTGTGTTTATGTGTGTATGTTTGTGTGCTTGTGTGTGTATGTGTGTGCGTGTGTGTATGTGAGTGTGTATATTTGTGTGTGTGCATGTGTGTTATGTGTACATGTGTATGTGAGTGTGTATGTAGTACATACCATGGTAGTGTTGGTGGTATAGGTACTGCGATATGGATATGTGTTTGAGGAGCAGAGTTGAGCAGATGGAGGCTTGGGAGATTGGGTGGGTGGAAGATAAAAATTAAAACAGACTTTTTAGCAATACCACACATGTTGAGAATTTAAATATTTGGTTAAGCAAGAAAGTCAATAGTTATAAATTGTTCCCTTGCATAGGGACCTGTTGTGGGTTATTGCTGTCCACAGGATAAGTGGTCTGGCTATGACTCAAGTCTTTCCACCTTGAGGCCCGTCTAGCCAGCTCTGCTGTTTCTTGCTCAACCTGACCCACCCTCTGCTCCCACCCAGCTGCTTTATCCTCAGGTTCTGAAATATACCTGCCTCTCACTACATGCAGGTTTCCCTGATGAAAA
This sequence comes from Homo sapiens, assembly GCF_000001405.40. NCBI lineage: Eukaryota > Metazoa > Chordata > Mammalia > Primates > Hominidae > Homo > Homo sapiens. Next base: position 245,050 of record NT_187564.1, on the reverse strand, counting down.
TGCCCGTCTATTCAAACCCCAGCCTCACCTGCTGGGTCCACCCCAGTGAGTCCAGCTCACACCAATACGGCCCTTTTCTAATCAGGAATTCTCAAATACTGCTGGTGGGAGTGTGAATTGGTGCAAACTGGAAAAAAAAAAAAAAAGATCGAGAATCTCCTAAATGACAGGGAGTTCTCAAAGGACTAATAAAAACATCTGAAAAAGCTGTCCACTCCCATTAGTAATCAATGAAGTGCAAATTAAAGCAAGTTCAACTAATATTCAGATAGCATTTTCCACCTCTTAATTTGGCAGAAATGGAAAAATGCTAATGCACAGAATTGTCAAGGGTATGAGAAATGTAAACTGGGAAAATATTTGTGAAGACTCTTTGGCAATATGAAACAAATATGCGTACCATTTGATGGAGTATCCCACTTCTAGGAATTTGTTATAAAGTCAAAATGATGGACAAACAAATACATCTACTTATAATTGTTATTTTCAGCAATATTTCCATAGGGAAAATTCGGGTACTATCTAAAGGTCCAATAATAAAGTAATGTAGTAGGGCAGGTAAATTAATAATAGTAAAGTAAGTTTGAGGATAGCCATATATTGGATATATGCCATTTAAATGATGGAAAATGTTTAATAATATAAAATGCAATTATGCTCTATTGTTAAGTGAAGAAACACTAGTCACAAAACTTTATTTATAATTATGCTTTGGGAATATCTCCAAGATTACCTTCAGGTTCAATAGTTTGCTAGGATTCATGGAACTCAGCAAAGCAGTTATACTCATGGCTACAGTTTATTCATTTTATTTTATTTTATTTTATTTATTTTATTTTATTATTTTATTTTTCTGAGATAGAGTCTCTGTCTGTCACCCAGGCTAGAGTGCAGTGGCACGATCTCAGCTGGTTGTAATTTCTGCCTCCTGGGTTCAACTGATTCTCCTGCCTCAGCCTCCGAGTAGCTGGGATTACAGGCCTGCACCACCACACCTGGCCAATTTTTGTATTTTTAGTAGAGATGGGGTTTCACCATGTTGGCCAGGCTGGTCTCGAACTCCTGACCTCAAGTGATCCACCTGCCCTGGCCTCCCAGAGTGCTGGGATTACAGGCGTGAGCCACCGTGCCTGGTCACATGGCTATAGTTACTACAGTGAAATGATATTGATTAAAATTAGTAATGCAAAAAGGTTCATAGAGCATGGTCCAGGTGAGGCCAGGCACAGAGCACTCAGTCATCTGCTCCCAGTGGCATCGTGAGCAAAGTTTCTTTTTCCTAGCAAAAATGTGTGATATGAAGTATGGAATATCACCAACCTGCCTGAGGCCTGGCATCCAGGGCTTTCATTGGAGGTTGGTAATACAGATATGTCTGACAACTATAAGGCTGACCTTAGTCTCTAGCCCCTCAAGAGGTCAAATTAATATCATGTGGCCCAAAGTCCCCAGGATGAATCTTACTGTTAGAAGAGACTATCTAGCATAGCCCAAAGCCCCTCGGTAAACAAAGGCATTCTTTTTTTTTTTTTTTTTTTTTTTTTTTGAGACGGAGTCTCGCTCTGTCGCCCAGGCTGGAGTGCAATGGCGCAATCTTGGCTCACTGCATGCTCCGCCTCCCGGGTTCACGCCATTCTCCTGCCTCAGCCTCCTGAGTAGCTGGGACTACAGGCACCTGCCATCATGCCCGGCTAATTTTTTGTATTTTTAGTAGAGACGGGGTTTCACCGTGTTGGCCAGGATGGTCTTGATCTCCTGACCTCGTGATATACCCGCCTCAGCCTCCCAAAGTGCTGGGATTACAGGCATGAGCCACCGCGCCCGGCAACAAAGGCATTCTTATCTGCCAGAACATCCCAGTGGCTTCGAAGTTACCTCCCAAGTTGGGGCACAAAAGATGAAACCTATCTTCAGTCAAGGTTAATCCTTCACTGCACAGGCCACTCCCAACGCCTCCTGATAAATCTGCTATCCATTTTCAAGAATGAGAAATGTGCTTTGAACCCTAAAAGAAGGCATCTTCCCCTCTAAAGCTTTGTGTGAGCGGCTACCATGATCCCTTGGTTCTTTTTACCCAAGCTTTCCTGGCTGTGTGAAGAACTCAGAAGTCTTCTTGTCCCTGCCCTCCTCTGGTCAGGATGGCGCCTGTTACACACACATCATAGAGAAGTAAACCCCCTCTCACCCTGGCATGGAGATGAGACCAAGTCGAAAAGCAGAAACCTCAGGGGACCCTTAAAAATTCAGCTTATTGGCTGTACTACTAGAAATTCTGATTTATAAGGTTGTGGATGAGCTCTAAGAACCTGGATATTTAGGCCGGGCACAGTGGCTCACGCCTGTAATCCCAGCACTTTGGGATGCCAAGGCAGGCGGATCACCAGAGGTCAGGAGTTTGAGACCAGCCTGACCAATATGATGAAACGCCATCTCTACTAAAAATACAAAAATTAGCTGGGCATGGCGGAGGGAGCCTGTAATTCCAGCTACTTGGGAGACTGAGACAGGAGAATCATTTGCACCCGGGAGGTGGAGGTTGCAGTGAGCCGAGATCGTGCCATTGCATTCTAGCCTGGGCAACAAGAGCAAAACCCCCTCTCAAACAACAACAACAACAACAACAACAACAACAACAACAACAACCTGGCTATTTAAAAATAGCCCCAGGGATTCTGATAATCAGCCAGGTTTGAGAACCCATTCCTCTTCCCACCAATAGCTTTCATATAAATAACCATTTCCTGGCACATTGTTCAGCATTCAGAGTTCCCTTTTGCTTGCCAGGGGAGTAAGAGCTCCCAGGTGAGCTCAATTCTTCCAGGATCCAGCTGATCCAACCATAAGGATGCCTGTCTGTAATAATGTCTGACATATGGGTGCATTAGTTTCCTAGGGCTGTTATCACAAATGACCACAAACATGGACATCTTCAAACAATACAAATGCATTCCCTTACAGTTCTGGAAGCCAGCAGGTGTCAGCAGGGCTTTGCTCTCTCTGCAAAGACTCTAGAGAGAATCCTTCCTTCCTCTTCCAGCTCCTGGTAGCCCCAGGCATTCCCTGTCTTGTGGCTTCAGGAGGGGCAAAGTTGGATGGAGTCTCTGAGTCCTGCCAGTCTGCCTCTGTCTTGTATCCTTTGAGCCTGGCACTGAACTTTGGGTCCTAGACCTGGTGGTCTCTGTCAGAGTCAGCTCCAGAATTTGACTTTGGAACCAAGGTGTGTCTGGAAAGTAGCTGGGATCAGGGAACATCCCTGTGGTTTTTTGTTCGTATAGCTGCCCACTGTTTTAATGACTGTTTATTGAGGTTGGCCAAGGAAAGGTGCTGATGAAGGTTATAGAGGCCCTGCCATAGCCAAGCTCACCCTGAGTACCATGGCTAAAGGCAAACGATCTTTATGGGATACAGAAGGTGGGGACTTGGGAAATGCAAGTCTGTGGGGCTGAATCTGGGAGTGGGTGGGAGCTTTTATTCCTTTTCTTCCCCCACAGCGTACTGGGTCCTCTGAGGCTTCTAGGTAATTCTGAAAGAGGGAATTAGTGATGGCAATAGTGGCCTGTCTGGAGTGGCCACTGTGAAGATGCCGGCTGTAATGGGGGAGAAGGGTGTGGTTGGGACTGCGCCCTCCAGGAAGCCAGCAGGAGCTGGGAACAGGCTCCAGGCCCTGGTATTCCTGTGTTCTTGGGGGCCAGGAACAGGTCAGAGCCCTGCCTCCTACTGAGTTGGCCGCGCTGGCGGGGTGGGAGCCCCAGGCTCCCCAGGCATAGCTATAGCTGCCCAGCTGCAGCTCCAGGCTCCGGCATCCCTGCACTCTTGGGGGCCAGGGAAGCTCCCCCTACCCCCACAGGCTCGGAAGTTCCTCCTCTTATTCCCTGGCCTCTCCCCATATCTAGGGCCTGCTCTGATGTGGAACAAGGTAGCCTAGCCTGGGCCCTGTAGTGACCCAGCCAGGTGTGCATGTGCTCAGGACCATGCTGACACACCGCCTCAGCCCTTTTTGGACTTTGGGCACCAAAGAGTGTGGGAGGGAGGCTGGGAGGTGCTGAGGGTGGCTCTACGTGAGCCTGAAAGCACCCCTTGGCATGAACAGCCTGGGCATCATGGATGGCACATTGATGGCGGGAGACAGACAGCTTCCTGGGTAAAATGGGGAGGTCCCTGCCCACCTTCAAGCCAGGGATGGCCTGAAGCCTGGGAGCCAGGCTGTCAGTTCTAGGTGAAGTCTGCAGCCCAGAGTGAGAACTTATGGTGCTTTTTTCAGGGCCTGCCCATGGCCATCCAGGGATAAATCAGCATGTACTTCCTCCCTTCCTAGCCCATAAACCCCCCCATTCAGCCAGACTCAAGCCAATGGCAGGACGCCCTGCCTGCAGATAGAAGCTACCCACTCCAGGTCTCCTCTCTGCCGAGAGCTGCACAGATGTTGGGATGACCTGCTACCTGTCAGGAGCTACCCACTTCGGGTCTCCTGAGAGCTGTACTGTGGCTCAATAAATCTCTTCTCCACCTTGTTCACCCTCCATTTGTCCATGTATCTCATTCCTCCTGGATGCATGACAATAACTCAGGAAACCCAAATGGTGGGACTGAAAGAGCTGTAACACAAACAGGGCTGAAACACGCACCCCTGTTTTCCAAGTTGCAGGTGACAAGAAGGAGAGAAGAGCTGCAGCCCCTCAGGAAGCCCAGACCTAGGGGCTCCCCCAGCCAGGGCTGTAGCACCCTCTTTAGGGCTCTGCGGCTTCTGGCATCTCCAAGCTACTTTGTTACCCAGTCCAGACACTGGTGCCCACAGGGGAAACCACTCGTAGTACATCTGGTCCAACTGAGGCCTCGCAGGGAGCTGGTGTCTGGAGCTGCCCATCCCGCTGCAGCAGCTGGCATGCCTGGTTGTGTGCAGTGTCCAGACCCCATGCTCGCTCACTTACACATCCCTCACCACTCTGTGCCTGGCTTGCCCTTGGCAGGCGTGGGATCTGGGCCGGTAGTGTGGGCTGAGTACAGCCTGCTGGGCTGAGTGGGTGGAATGAGCCTAGCCAGCCCAAGCAAAACTCGGACAAAGGCACCACCAGCCACAGAGGTTTCTGGCTGGCAAAATGACACCCAGAAGCTCCTGTGATGTTAGTAAGTGGTATAGTATAACCTAAGGCTCTCGTGACCCTTCCAAATGCCTCCTCGCAATCCCAGCCACAGAACAGGGCTGGAGTGGTTTTGAGATGTCCCGACACAGTCACTCTCCTGCATTCTGATATTTCCTCTTGAAACACAGATCTACAAGGAGCTAATGGTAAATGTGAATGTGAAGATTTAAGGACAAGTTTGGCTCTTACGACTTTCATTTTATTTGAATCAGACTTTTTTTTGACATTTTGGCTGATACTGAAATAAGTACTTAATAACACCAAACATCAAAATGTAATGATATGCAGAGTACTATTTTTCTTTTGTTTAAAGGAAAGTTGAAATTTTAGAAAGATTAAGGGGACCATGAAGACCCAATGTTTTCTAATAAATAGAAATTGGAAGTGATTTAATAAATCTGCCACTGAATCAAAATACAGGAGCCTTGTCACCTTGAAGTTGCATACATGTGTTGTCCAATACGGTGGCCGCCAGCCACACATGGCTATTGACCACTTGAGATGTGGCTTGTCTGAACTGAGATATGCTTTAAACATAAAATACACACTGCATTTTAAAGACTTAGCATGAAAACGAAGAATGTCAAATAGCTCATTAAGTAATTTTTACATGTTGTTTACATGTTACAAAGATATTTTCAACATACTGAGAAATGAAACGTTGTTAAAATTGATCTTACCTGTCTGTTTTTACTTTTTAATCTTGCTACTAGAAAATTTAAAATTGCGTATGTGGTTCACATCATACTTTTATTAGACCACACTACTCTAGGAAGAGAAATAATCACTCATTTTCTTGTATTACTTCTCATTTTCGTCCATATCAATTCAAGACGTTAGATTTCCTCCTGCCTGTCACAGATTCTATTAGATTTAAAACCACAGGGTCTTTTGCTCTTTTCTCTAACTTCTACCTTCAATATGCATTTCTCATAAAATGTATCTTTGCATTTTAAATTCAATAAGCACATCAATATCAAAACTGCTTTTATTCTCTTCACTTATCACCCCTTCCTATTCAGGACATTACTCTTTCTTTTCTCCATCACAATTTATTTTTTCCTGACATTTTTTTCTGGCTTCCTTTTCAAATTAGAAACCTGCCTCCCCAGGGCAAAGGAATCAGAAATCATGGGCGTGGCACATAACAAAGACAGATGTAGGGAAAGAAACATTCTCATCGGAAAGTTTATCACCTCACACATGGTTAGGTCCCTTACTGACCTTGGCATAAGGGATACCATGACCACATGAATTCATTTATTCTACAAACGTTTCTAAAATAAAATAAAATAAAATCCTAAGCCCCCCTCTGATTGAACAGGATCCCCTCTTGGCCAGAGGGACCCAAGAAAACCTTAAAAATGGAATTCCTGGACATGATGAGAATGGAGGTCAGACATACCTTGCTATATTCCCTCCCTCTTAGAGTTTAAGCACAACTGGCCAGCATTAATGTTAAAATAGAGACCATCGGACTGACAAAACAGACTTCTGTCGAGATGAGATACCAAATTATAAACAAGACCTGAGACCATGCAAGGCAAGGGTTAAATCACGCCTGCAGGCCATTGATTTTGCTACATAGCATCCTAATCTGAATTTAAGATATTCCTTTCTGCTGACTACAAGTTTTAGAGAGAGCCTTACTACTCTAACCGATTACAAATTAAATAATCTCTAAATCCACCTATACACCTGTTAGCTTCTGCTTTAAAATATCCTTTCTTTTTGGGCCAAACCAACGTATACCTTCCATGCATTGATTTATGCCTTTGCCTGATACTCCTGTCTCCCTAAAATGTATAAAACCAAACTGTAATCTGATCTCCTTGGGCTCACTTACTCAAGACTTCTTGGGTTTTTGTTTTCCCCTGCCTGAGGTCACTCATCTTGGCTCAGAAGAAACCTCTTTAAATTATTTTACCGAGTTTAGCTTTTCCATTCATATATTCATTAAGAACCTACCATGTGTCAGCTTTGTGTCAGTGGGGGTAGAGAGGTTAATAAGACAGATGTCTGATCTTCCCTTCATGACAATCTTATAGGGAAAGTCCACATGACTACTTGGAGCCAGGTCACAAAATGACTGAGTTTTTTTGACAGTAATTCATGAATCCTCAACTATTAAAGAGCAATTAAAGAAAAACCTTGGCCAGGCGTGGTGGCTCATGCCTGTAATCCCAGTACTTTGGGAGGCTGAGGCGGGTGGATCACAAGGTCAGCAGTTCAAGACCAGCTTGGCCAACATGGTGAAACCCTGTCTCTACTAAAAATACAAAACATAGCTGGGCATGGTGGTGGGCACCTGTAGTCCCAGCTACTCGGGAGGTTGAGAAGAGAGAATCCCTTGAACCTGGGGAGCGGAAGTTGCAGTGAGCAGAGATCACGCCACTACACTCTAGCCTGGGCAACAGAGCGAGACTCCATCTCAATAAATAAATAAATAAATAAAAAACCTTTTATTTTAAGTTCTGGGGTACATGTGCAGGTTTGTTACACAGGTAAACTGTGTCATGGGGATTGTTGTATAGATTATTTCATTAACCGGTAGTAAGCCTAGTACCTATTAGTTATTTTTCATGGTCCTCTCCCTCCTCCCACCCTCCACTCTCTGATAGGCCCTGGTGTGTGTTGTTTCCCTCTATGTATCCATGTATTCTCATAACTTAGCTCCCACTACTAAGTGAGAACATGCGGTATTTGGTTTTCTATTTCTGCATGAGTTTGATATGGATAATGGCCTCCAGCTCCATCCATGTCCCTGCAAAGGACATGATCTCATTTTTTATGGCTGCATAGTATTCTATGGTGTATATGTACCACATTTTCTTTATCCAGTCTACCATTGATGAGCATTTAGATTCCATGTCTTTGCTATTGTGAGTAGTGCTGCAATGAATGTACATGTGCATGTGTTTTTATGATAGAATGATTTATATTCCTTTGGGTATATACCTAGTTTTGGGATTGCTGGGTCAAATGGTATTTCTGTTTTTAGGTATTTGAGGAAATGTCACACTATTTTCCACAATGGTTGAACTAATTTACATTCCCACCAACAGTGTATAAGCATTCCCTTTTCTCTGCAACCTCAGTAGCATCTGTTATTTAAAGAGCAATTTTTTAAAAAAGTAAAATCATGACTCTCATACAAATATAAAATCAATGGGTGTCAAATATTTTTAAACTCAATTAATGAAAGAACTTAATAAGATATTATCACCTATTCAAAGATGTCTAACAACCACACACATGTACACGTAATAATTTTAAATAATTTTTTATAAGATACAAAAATCCTATTTAAAAGCCAATGACTAATTTTAATGAACACATAAATTACTTTTTTTTTTTTTTTGAGACAGGGTCTCACTCTGTCACCTAGGCTGGAGTGCGGTGCCATCATCTCAGCTCACTGCAACCTCCACCTCCTGGGTTCAAGTGATTCTCCTGCCTCAGCCTCCCAAATAACTGGAATTACAGGCGCCCACAACCACACCCGGCTAATTTTTGTATTTTTGGTAGAGATGGGGTTTCACTATGTTGACCAGGCTGGTCTTGAACTCCTGACCTCAGGTGATAGGCCCGCCTCGGCCTCCCAAAGTGCTGGGATTACAGGTGTGAGCACTACGCCCGGCCTATATTACTTTTTTAAGGAGTCTTTTTCTTTCTTTCTTTTCTTTTGTGTGTGCTAAAGATCAGGGAATTGTCCTACAGGATCTCATGGAAGGAAGCCATCTCAGCCTGCCTCCTCCCAGAAACCAGAGCCTGAGATAAGGGTCGTGTGCTGGTGTTAATTTGGGGAAGTGATTGAAGAAACAGGAGTTGGGGCAGGGGAGAGCAGGAAGAAGGAAACGGTAGAGAAAGCCGATTCATGCAAGATTGCATTGTGGAGCTGGTTGGTCACTGCCATGCCATCCACAGGGACCCTTTGAAGAGCTGTGTAGACTGCATCTTGGAATGATTCTCTTGAGAAGCAGAAGATAGTCATATTTTCTTACTGACTCGCCCTCATTGATTGAAGCTGCTCCAGAGTGTTAACTCCCTTGTGCTCTAGGTTTGCACGCCTGCAGTTGAATGTTTCTGGGTGGTGGCCCACTCATTAGCTGCAGAGAAGCCCTGGGGCAGCAAGTAAGGGAAATAGGGACATCTGGGGTAGGTTCTATCAGAGTCCACTTGCACAATGGCTGGGTAAAAGGTGGGCTAAGGGCCGGGCGTGGTGGCTCACGTCTGTAATCCCAGCACTTTGGGAGGCCGGGGCGGGCGGATCACGAGGTCAGGAGATCGAGACCATCCTGGCTAACACGGTGAAACCCCATCTCTACTAAAAATACAAAAAAATTAGCCGGGCATGGTGGCGGGCGCCTGTAGTCCCAGCTACTCGGGAGGCTGAGGCAGGAGAATCGCTTGAACCCGGGAGGCGGAGGTTGCAGTGAGCTGAGATCGCACCACTGCACTCCAGCCTAGTGACAGAGCGAGACTCCGTCTCAGAAAAAAAAAAAAAAAAAAAAAAAAAGATGGGCTGAGAACACACGAGGCAGGAAACAGAAGGGGTTAAATACAGGAAGCCCTTTGTAGGTTTACTTCGTGCTCATTCTGAGAGCAGATACAGGATCTTTTTCCAGTTTGAGGCTGAGGAAGGCATTTTTGTATATTCTTCTGAGTTAGAAGATAATCTTTGGCCTGAATGGTACAAGCTAAAATCAACTGGAGTTTTCAGGGGCTAAATGATTTTAAATGGAGATATTCTGCAAGTAACAGTTGTAGACTCCTTTTTGGAGCAGAATTTAATGAAGGTTTAATGAAGCAACACAAAGAGAAACAGAAATCGCCTAAACTACCCTACCCTCCTCAGCCCTGGCTGCATCTCCCACCTGTGGCACGATGGCTTCTCTGAAGCTAAGCCTATGAATACAGGGTTATTTGGAAATGAGAAGAAAGTATAAGCTGTCTATTTAGTGATGTAACTTAGCTTTGCATGGACCTGCTGGGAAGGGAATCTCAAGACAGCACCAAGGATAAGACCTAGGTGGGTCGTGAGGGTCTGTTTGTTTCCACACAGGGCTGAAGGATCTTCCGCTTTCTGCTCCTCCTGCAAGGCTATTCTTCTGCCTCGAAGATCCTGGATTTAGAGACAAATTGCCAAAGACTACTTTCTTTTTCTTTTCTTTCTTTCTTTTTTTTTTTTTTTGAGATGGAGTCTCACTCTGTTGCTCAGGCTGGAGTGCAATGGTGTGATCTTGGCTCACTGCAACCTCCGCCTCCTAGGTTCAAGGATCCTCCTGCCTCAGCCTCCTGAGTAGCTGGGATTACAGGCACCCGCCACTATGCCCGGCTAATTTTTTGTATTTTTAGTAGAGATGGGGTTTCACCATGTTGATCAGGCTGGTCTCGAACTCCCGACCTCAGGTGATCCACCCACCTCAGCCTCCCAAAGTGCTGGGATTATAGGCTTGAGCCACCGCACCCAGCCCAAAGGACTACTTCCTAAGACCAGAATGGAAAAGAAGGGAATCTGTGGAATGTCACTATCTTAGAGTCCCTAATCAAAATCCTCACATCTTCCTATCCCTGAAAGGAGGAGATCAGAGCCAGTTTTGGCAGTAAATTGGCTTTACAAATGTGAGTGGTTTTGAGGTGAGAACTTGAAGCTATATTTTAATAAATAAATTGATAATTCAACTGATTGAAGAAATGATCACAGGCAGCTTCTTAGGCTATGCAAACTATAACAAATAACATGAGTTGAATATGGGAATCACAGATAACAGAACTTTCTTTTGCCTTGGATTCGATATAGCTTGTGTGAATAATTCTGGGAAACATTGGATTAAATGTGAAAAGGCAAGCAGTCTTGTTTTATGCAAGACCTTTCATGTGCTTCTCAGAATCTTCAATATGCTAATTTGCATTCAGATCATTAAGACTATATGAGGGGGCCAAGCGCGGTGTCTCACGCCTATAATCCCAACATTTTGGGAGGCAGAGGTGGGTTGATCACCTGAGGTCAGGAGTTCAAGACCAGCTGGCCAACATGGTGAAACTCTGTCTCTACTAAAAATACAAAAATTAGCTGGGTGTGGTGATGTGCGCCTGTAATCCCAGCTACTCAAGAGGCTGAGGCAGGAGTACCACTTGAACCCGAGAGAAGGAGGTGGCAGTGAGCCGATATCATGCCACTGCACTTCAGCCTGGCTGACAGAGTGAGACTCTGCCTCAAAACAAACAAAAACAAACAAACCAACAAAAAAACTATAAGGGAGAGAGGGAAAGCTTCCCCCCTTCAACCTCTGAAGGTTTGCTGAAAATGAACTAACAAAAGGCAGATTATTAGGAGAAAAGGGCATACAAATGTATTTTAATGTGCGCGGCACAAGGGAATTGCAGAAGAATGATAATCCAATAATCCAATGGGGTTCAGATACTTACATTTGTTACTTCACACAGCAAGAGGAAATGGGGGCTGCTGGGGTAAATAATTTTCAGGGGAAAGAATGGACCTAATGCTCAGACAATGGTAAGTAAATAATTCTCTTTGGGAATTGAATGGGACCAGAGGACACGCAGTGGCCTAGCACGAAGTTTGTCTGGGCTGCAGGAGTGTTATTCAATTTTCAGTCTTCCTCTGTGATAGGAGTTTTAATTTTCTCTGGTTAATGAAATTTCAGGGAAGGGATCAAAAGCGATTTTGTTCCTCTTTGGGGTTCAGTTTCTAGGTGGAGCAAGGAACTTCAGAAAACAGCTTCATTCTGTACTTTGGGAGAGACAGAGGATCAGAGAGAGAGAGAGACCAGGGTTGGGGGCAGTGGGGGGAGATCAGAGAAAGGCCTTGGTTCTGAGGCTAATTTCTGAGGCCTTTCAATTTTCAAAGTACTCAGAATGCCAAAGTGCCATATTGTGGGGTATCATATTCTGTACCCCAACAAGATCATGTTATAATATTTAGTCTTTCTCAAGCTAAGCTGCCCTAGAACCAGTTTATTCCTTTGAGAACATCTTGTGGGTGTGGGTACAAAGCACGTGCTCTCAGAAATGCAGCCAGAGAGAACCTATGCCCTTCCCATGAAGGTGAAGGGGTCTGGGCCTCTGCAGCCTTTTCATTGTTGTAATCCTCAGAATGCTTTATTAGAATCTGACAGTTGCTTTATGTTTTATTTCTCACAGTTTTGGAGGCGGGGAAGTCCAAGATCAAGCCAGTAACATATACAGTGTCTGGGGAGAGCCTGCTTCTTGGTTCAAGGGCTGGCCGTCTTCTCACCGTGTCCTCACATGGTGGAAGAGACAAGAGAACTCTCTGGAGTCTCTTCTATAAAGGCACTAATCCCATTCAGGAGGGCTGTGATCTCATGATCTAATCATCTTCTGATATGGTTTGGATCTGTGTCCTTGCCCACGTCTCATGTTGAATTGTAATTCCCAATGTTGGAGGTGGGGCCTGTTGGAAGGTGACTGGATCATGGGGGCAGAATTCTCATGACGGTTTTATACCATTCCTGTTGGTGCTGTTCTCATGATAGTGAGCGAGTTCTCATGAAATATGGTTGTTTAAAAGTGGGTAGCATCCCCTCAGCCTCTTGCTCCTGCTGCCACCATATAAGATGGGCCTGCTTCCCCTTTGCCTTCCACCATGATTGTAAGTTTCCTGAGGCCTCCCTAGAAGCAGAAGTTGCTATGTTTCCTTTAGAACCTGCAGAATTGTGAGCGAATTAAACCTCTTTTCTTTATAAATTACCCAGTCTCAGGTATTTCTTTATAGCAATGCAAGAATGGACTAATACACTTCCCAAAGGCCCCCCCCTTCCTAATGCCATCTCCTTCGGGGTTAGGTTTTCAATGTATGAATTTTGGAGGGACACAAACATTCAGAACATAGCCAGCTCTCATAACATAAACAAAGTCCTTTTTGTGTCACTTTTTTTTTGTTGTTGTTGTTGCACTGTTGTGCTTTTTGTTGGTGATTTTACTGTATAAAATGGCTCCAAGCAGAGTGCTGGGTGCTGTTCAGTGTTCCTAGGCACAAAAAGGCTGTGTGACGTAACTTCCAGGGAAAATATGGGTGTTAGATAAGCTTTGTTTATGCATGAGCTACAGTGCTACTAACCATGAGTTCAATGTTGATAAATCAACAATGTATGTTAAATAAGAAATAAAGTGTCTTTATACAGAAACACACAAAAAAACAAGGTTATATAGTGATTAGTTGATAAAAACTTGACCGGGTCTTGCAGGAACCTATAACTCTGTGTTTCCCCTAAGAGAAGTATTTGCTAATTCAGTGTTTGTGGTGACTTTATAGAACATAACTACCATGAATTGTGAGAATCAACTGTACTTGTTTTTGAAAATTAAACACAAATCCTTTCTGATACTGTTTGATCTAAAATATTTACTTATTTGTGCCTTGTTTCTGAACCTTTCCAACCAGAATAGCAATACCTGTCCAATAAGCTTACAGGAAAATGTATGTGAAAGTTCTGTCTAAAAGTTTAAAGGCTATATAAATCCAGGCCTTACAATGTTTATTTTAATCACATGGGCCAAATAAATGATTGAACGTGACTATTATTTTACTTTCTGCTTTGTTAGCCCACGTGGTTGAGAACTGTTTGATATGAAGAATTTTATGGGGTCAGTTCATAAGATGAATAAAGGAAATGACATTTCCAATATGCGTTAAAAACCAAAGTCCACGTGTACACAGATGACTAATTTAGAGAGCTCTGTTATGGCTCAGTTAGTGTAGTTGGAGTGGAATGACATTGACTTTTAAAATAAATTTTTTCTTGGTTTGTAGAAATAATAATGAAACCACTGTTGCAAAATTATAACTGAGAAAATTATCACAGTGAAAGAGATCTGACCCAACCAACTCCATCTTGCTTTTAACCTCCAAGCTGCCCTTGCTCATTCCTGGGCATAGGCCAAACTTTGCAAAGAACTTAGTTTATAGTTTAACTTTGAAACAAAGACACTAACAGCCCTTTCCCAAAACAGATCCCCTTTCTGCCTAAGTACTAGACTGCTTTTGTAGGACTAATAAGTTAGCCACAAGGTTAGAAATTATGATTTAGGAGTCACAGAGCTGGAGGCTACAAGATTCTGACCCTCCCCGAATTGCTCTTGGGGATAACATCACTATTATAAAACCTAAGATCAGTGTTTGAGATATTTTGCAGACCCTGCAGATCCTTGATGGATCAGCTGCCACCACCCAGATTAATAAACTGGCGCATCTGGTCTCGTGGTCCCCACCCAGGAACTGACTCAGCGCGAGAGAACAACTTTGACTCCCTATTATTTCACCTCCAGCCCTATCAATCAGCACTCCTGAATCACTGGCCCCTACCTACTAAATTGTCCTTAAAAACTCTGATCACTTCATTTTCAGGGAAACTGATTTGAGTGATAGTAAAACTCCAGTCTCCTGTACAGCTGTTTCTGCGTGAATTAAACTCTTTCTCTATTGCAATCCCCTGTCTTGATAAATTGTCTGTGTCTAGGCAGCGAGCAAGAAGAACCTGTTGGATGGTTACAATAATTGCTTTTTATAGAACATCAATAGGATAATACTTGTATCAGGGAGATTGGTAAGTCAAGATTCATATCTTTTTAGTCCTCAAAATCCTTAAATGTTTATTGGCATCCACAGGATGGAGAGAAAGAAAATGCATATGCAGTAAGGAGAGAACAGGTCTCTTTTGATGTGTTTCTGATACTTATTAAACCTTAAGAGAGAACAGAGCCTAGGGAGCCCTTTTCAATAGATCAAACCCTGTTGGCCGAGATCGCGCCACTGCACTCCAGCCTGGGCGACAGAGCGAGACTCTGTCTCACAAAAAAAAACCAAAACCCTTCTAACACCACAGCAGACTCTGCTCGAGCCTCCCCAGGTGCTCTCCGGGGCTCCGGCTGTTTATCTCAATGCAGGCTGGAGGCCAATGTCATGAGTCCCCAAAAGGACGGTGGCAGCACGGTCCTCAGCGTGGCGTCTGTCGTTGCTCAGGCTTCTGGTTCAGGGTGGGGCAGTGGTGCCCCTGTGGCAGGCAGCCCACACCAGGCACTGCTGCAGCATGGGGTCGAGGGCTCGCAGCCCTCGAGGCCCAGGCCTACAGCCTCCACCCAGCTCATGGTCAGGCCGCCCTCCCTGCAGCCAGCAGCCGGGCCACCTGATTCAGCATGGGCAGGAGTGCCAAGGTGACACCGGGGGCGGTGTGCTCCTCCTCGAGCCGCATGGGGTCCAGCAGCCAGGTGGGCACGGACCCTGGCGTGAGGCCCAGGCCGCAGCTCACCACCAAGTCATTCATCTCCATGCCTGCATAGGCCAGGGCAAGCTTGGCGGTGTTGAGCTCAGTGGCCAGGGCTGAGCCGCCATCTTCCAGCAGCAGCTCCGAGGCCTCAAGCTGCACATGCGGGTAGCGATCCAGGCACATGGCCGGCTCCAGCGCCTCCTGTAGCACCATCGCCGGCTCAGGCTCCTCGCCGCCACCCGTGGGAGCGTGGCGGAAGTCACAGAGCAGGCCTGGCCGAGATCTTCAGAGGTGACAACGTGCTGGCGGCCCTCGCTCGCTCTCGGCACCTTCTCAGCCTGGGCGTCCGCTCTGGCCACGCTTGAGGAGCCCTTCAGCCTGCTGCTGCACTGTGGGAGCCCCTCTCTGGGTTGGCCAAGGCTGGAGCCGGCTCCCTCTGCTTGCGAGGAGGTGCGGAGGGAGAGGTGCGGGCAGGAACTGGGGCTGTGTGTAGCGCTGGTGGGCCAGCGTGAGTTCCGGGTGGTCGTGGGCTCGGCAGGCCCCACACTCGGAGCCGCCAGCGGGCACCACTGCCCCAGTAGTGAGGGGCTTAGCACCCAGGTCAGCAGCTGCAGAGGGTGCGCTGGGTCCCCCAGCACTGCTGGCTGGCGCTGCGCTCGAATTCTTGCCAGGCCTCAGCCACCTCCCCGTGGGGCAGGGCTCAGGACCTGCAGCATGCCATGCCTGAGACCCCCACCCCACCCCACCCCACCCTGTGGGCTGCCACATGGCCCGAGTCTCCCCCAGGTGCTGCCCCCTGCTCTAGGCGCCTGGTCCAATCGACTGCCCAAGAGCTGAAGAGTGCGGGTGGGCAGCATGGGGACTGGCGGGCAGCTCCGCCTGTAGTCCAGGCATGGCATCCACTAGGCGGAAGCCAGCTGGGCTCCAGAGTTGGGTGGGGACTTGGAGAACTTTTATGTCTAGCTAAAGGATTGTAAATGCACCAATCAGCGCTCTGTGTCTAGCTCAAAGTTTGTAAACGCACCAATCGGCACTCTGTGTTTAGCTCAAGGTTTGTAAATGCACCAGTCAGCACCCTGTGTCTAGCTCAAGGTTTGTAAATGCACCAATCAGTGCTCTGTGTCTAGCTCATCTAGTGGCGACTTGGAGAACTTTTGTGTCTAGCTAAAGGATTGTAAATGCACCAATCAGTGCTCTGTGTCTAGCTCAAGGTTTGTAAACCAATCAGTGCTCTGTGTCTAGCTAATCTATTTGGGGACTTGGAGAACTTTTGTGTCTAGCTAAAGGATTGTAAATGCACCAATCAGTGCTCTGTGTCTAGCTCAAGGTTTGTAAACCAATCAGTGCTCTGTGTCTAGCTAATCTATTTGGGGACTTGGACAACTTGTTTCTAGCTAAAGGTTTGTAGAACCAATCAGCACCTGTCAAAACGGACCAATCAACTCTCTGTAACATGGACCAATCAGCAGGATGTGGGTGGGGCCAGATAAGGGAATAAAAGCAGGTTGCCTGAGCCAGCAGCCGCAATCTGCTTTGGTCCCATTCCACCCTGTGGAGGCTTTGTTCTTCCGCTCTTTGCAGTAAACCTTGCTGCTGCTTACTCTTTGGGTTCGCACCGCCTTAAGAGCTGTAACATCACGAAGGTCTGCAGCTTCACTCCTGAGGCCAGCGAGACCACGAACCCACTGGGAGGAACGAACAACTCCCAACAGGAGGAATGAATAACTCCGGATGGGAAGAACGAACAGTTCTGGACGGGAGGAACAAACAACTCTAGACGCGCCACCTTAAGAGCTGTGACACTCACTGTGAAGGTCTGCAGCTTCACTCCTGAAGCCAGTGAGACCATGAACTCA
Organism: Homo sapiens; assembly: GCF_000001405.40. Classification (NCBI taxonomy): domain Eukaryota; kingdom Metazoa; phylum Chordata; class Mammalia; order Primates; family Hominidae; genus Homo; species Homo sapiens. The sequence continues at coordinate 227,803 of NT_187564.1, read as the reverse complement.
CCAGAAGGAAGAAACTCCAAACACATACGAACATCAGAAGGAACAAACTCCGGACACACCATCTTTAAGAACCATAACACTCACCGGGAGGGTCTGTGGCTTCGTTCTTGAAGTCAGTGAGACCAAGAACCCACCAATTTTGGACACAATCTGATGGTCTTACAAAGGTTTCCCCTCTTGTTTGGCTCTCATTTTCTCTTGTCTGCCCCCATGTAAGATGTGCCTTTTGCCTTCCACCATGATTGTGAGGCCTCCCCAGCCATGTGGAACTGTGAGTCCATTAAACCTCTTTTTCTTTATAAATTACCCAGTCTTGGGTATGTCTTTATCAGCAGTGTGAAAATGGACTAATACACCAGTTCAAGGGAAGAGTGGGAAGGCAGATACAGTCATAGATTAGGAATATTAAAGTTAGTGTGTAAAGGGAAGCAAAGTGGGTAAAGGGAAGTCAGTTGAACCTCCAGGAGCAGGACGAAATTGTCTATAGACCACAGTTTGTTGTGCTTGCTGTTATCTAGAGTTGTACAATACCTTCCAGGGATTTGGACTCAAATAACCTGGAGTGGAGGGATTTCCTCTACAGTCTACAATGCAGTTCTCCATAGTATCGTTTCCATAAGCCTCAATCCTATTTCTCCGACCCCTCTGTGCTTCTGGCTGGGTCCCAAGGGCATTGCTAGGACCACCCAGCACCTGGGCCTTCGGGCTGGGTCTGCCTTGCCTAAACTGTTGTCCAGAGAACCGGAGAGTCGGATGGTTTTTTATTAATCACCTTGGCCAATTCTTTCACTACATCCTCATCCCCGGAAGGGACAGAATTGGAGTCATTAATAATATATTGACTAAGGGCAGTTAGAGTGTTGAGGGAGAGGTTTGAGGTGCACTAAGGGGAGGGACTTGGAGTTGTCCAGAGCTATGCTGGTGCTGTTTCTTCTGAGAAATAATAAAAAAAAGCTGTCATTTACTGGAAATGTATTGTGTGCCAGGAATTTTAGATGTCTTGAATATCAGCTGCTCCTTACTGCACACTAAATGTTGGCAATATTATTCTAGGTCTCACCGATAAGGAAACAGCCTTGTACCTTGCCCGACAATGAACAGCTGCCAAAGGGCAGAGTTAAAACTCAGCCTGACTCAAAAACTTGCCTTTTGGCCAAATCAACATTTTCCCAAGTATAAACTGAGGAGTCTGGGCATCTCTGATGCCCCAAAATACTTGCTCCGGCCAGGCCCGGTGGCTCACGCCTTTAATCCTAGCACTTTGGGAGGCCGAGGCGGGCGGATCACTTGAGGTCAGGAGTTCAAGACCAGCCTGGCCAACATGGTGAAACCCCATCTCTACTAAAAATACAAAAAAATTTAGCCAGGCATGGTCATGGGTGACTGTAATCCCAGCTACTCGGGAGGCTGAGGCAGGAGAATCACTTGAACCAGGGAGGCGGAGGTTGCAGTGAGCCGAGATCGTGTCCAGCCTGGGCAACAAGAGTAAAACTCTGCCTTAAAGAAAAAAAAAAAAAAAAAACCTCGCTCCATGGTCAAATAAATTTGGGAAACACTGCGTTCAGATATGCAAACATGTGTCTTCACTGAGTGACTTCTCAGTCTTTTAACACAGTAATGGTTCTGTCCCCTCCTTCCGCCTGCAGATATATGATGTTGAAGAATTTTTCTCTCTCTCTTTGGCAGGGGCTGTTCTGCTTGCTGGATTGGAAATGATTTTAGCCCCTCATGCCAGGAAGAAAACATAGGCAGATTTCTCACCAGCTAAAAAGGAAGGAAAAATTGTGAAGTGAAATTTTCTACTGGCTGTGGTTTATCCATGTTAAATTGTAAAGCATATAACACAGATGGAATCCGGCACATGCAAAACACTCACAAAACCTAGTTACTACTACTGCTGGCGCTGCGGCTACACGACTACAACTACTACTACAGCCACTACTCTCCTCCTACTGCTACTGCTGCTGCTGCTAGTGTTTCGTAAAGTGGAGCTACAGAAATCAACATTTTTTTTCTTAGCTGCACAGTGAATTCGTTTTTTGGACTCCAGTATTCTTCCTGAAGGTCTGTTTCATCCTAGTATGACTCTCACTTTTTTTTCAAAATTTTATTTTATTTTATTTTTGAAATGGAGCCTCACTCTGTTGCCCAGGCTGGAGTGCAGTGGCGTGATCTCGGCTCACTACAACCTCCGCCTCTGGGTTCAAGAGATTCTCCTGCCTCGGCCTACTGAGTAGCTGGGATTACAGGCACGCGCCACCACGCCCAGCTAATTTTTGTATTTTCAGAAGAGATGGGGTTTCACCATGTTGGCCAGGAGGGTCTCAATCTCCTGACCTCATGATCCGCCTGCCTCGGCTTCCCAAAGTGCTGGGATTGCAGGCGTGAGCCACCATGCCTCTACATTTTAATTTTTTAAAACTTACCATCTTTATCATTTTTAAGTGTACAGTTAAGTGGTAATAAATACATATGTATCTCCTATCTCATTTCCTTATTTTCATCCCCCATCCCATTTCTGGACTCTGGCTAATAGCAGTCTACTCGGTATCATCACGAGATCCACGTTTTTAGTTTCCACATATGAATGAGAACATGCGATATTTGTCTTTCTGTGCTTGGCTTATTTCACTTAACATAATGGCCTCTGGTTCCATCCATGCTGCTGCAAGTGACAGGATTTCACTCTTTTTATAGCTGAATAATATTCCATTGTGTAAATATAACACATTTCCTTTATTCATCTGTTGATGGGTACTTACGTTGATTCTATATTTTGAATAGTGCTGCAGTAAACATGGGAGGGAGATATCTCTTTAATATACTGATTTCCTTTCTTTTGAGTATATACCCAGCAGTGAAATTGCTAGACCAAATGGTAGTTCTATTTTTAGTTTTTTTGCAGAACCTCCATACTGTTCTAATTTACATTCCCACCAACAGCGTATGAGGATTCCCCTTTCTCCACATCTTCGCCAGATCTGTTATCGCCTGCCTTTATTTACTTATTTTTATTTTTAATTCTTGTGGGTACGTAGTAGGTATATATGGGATACATTAGCTGTTTTGATATAGACATGCAATCTGTAATAATCATATCATGGAAAATGGGGTATCCGTCCCCTCAAGCATTTATTCTTTGTGTTACCAACAATTCAATTATACTCTTTCAGTTATTTTGAAATGTATAATTAAATTATTATTGATGTAGTCTCCCTGTTGTGCCGTCATTAATTCTAAGACTTATTCATTAATTCTATTTTTTGTACCCATTGCCTGCCTTTTTGATACAAGCCATTTTAACTGGGGTGCAATGATATCTCATTGTGGTTTTGATTTGCACTTCTCTGATGATTAGTGATATTGAGCATTTTTTCTTATACCTGTTAGCCATGTGTATGTCTGTTTTTGAGAAATGTCTGTTCAAATCTTTTGCCCACTTTTTAAATCAGATTATTTTTATTTTTTGCTATTGAGTTGTTTAAGCTCCTTATATGTTCTGGTTATTAATCCCTTGTCAGATGGACAGTTTGCAAATATTTTCTCCCATCGTGTGGGTTTTCACTTTGTTGGTTGTTTCCTTTGCTGTGGAGAAGCCTTTTAGCTTGAGGAAGATATTTTTTCAGATGCAACCGCTTCACAGCAGCCCCAAGGAGAGTAGGATTCTTCTCTGCCCTCCCCGTCCTGGGTACAAAGCCCAGGGTTCTCCCCACAGTTTCACTGGAGTTAGGGAGAGCCAGGGAGTCTTGCGGGAGGAGGTACATGCATTTAGTGATTAAAAACAGTTTACACTGAAAACACGTAGGACTTAAAAAGTCTAGTTTCTTCCTTTTCTGTGATTCTTTGGTGACAAAATAAATGGCAGTCACTGCCATGTTGGAAAACTTGGGAGAAACCAGGAGACCAGAAGCTGATTTGTTGTATTTTAGTTTCTCCAAGATGTTGATTTCATTTTTGTTAAAATATCTAAAGTGTTTATATGAAAACCTGTTTCTTGCTAGTTCTTGGTTTACATTCATTTTAACCAGTCAGGGTTTGTTTGTTTTGTTGATCAGAGGTCAGAGTGCTGGCACCCCTTGCAAGGAGCCCTCCCACGGAGTATCTGAAGGGTGGGGTCTTGAGCCAGGTGGGGTCTGGAGCCAGCGTTGAATGCTGAGGCTCCTTGTCGGCCCAGGACTGGGGCCCGGCAGAGCCTGTGGCTGAAGGACAAGAGAGGGAGAGAGTTCCCTAAGCCAATGAACTTGTTCCTCAAGTGCTTATCCTCAGCTCCAGGACAGATGGGGGGATTCCTGCTAGATTGGTGGGCTCCACAGGGGCCAGGACCTCTGGGTGATGTTGAAGAGGAGGTTTGGGGCAGTAGGGGGAAGAGAAAGAATATGTAGGAGGGGCTCATGGGGAAGCATCTTTGGGTCCTTCTCTCCCATGTGGGCACATTGCCAGAAAAGAGGGTCCCCATCCAGACCCCAAGAGAGGGTTCTTGAATCTCTCACAGGAAAGAATTAGAGGTGAGTCACAGAGCACAGTGAAAGAAGCAAGTTTATTAGAAACTACTCCAAGTTTATTAGAAACTACAGAGTGGGGTGCCCTCAGAAAGCAGGAGGAGGAATGCTCGATCCTTTGTTAGTGCCTCTACTCATAAAAATCTGTAGCCGGGCACGGTGGCTCACGCCTGTAATCCCAGCACTTTGGGAGGCCGAGCCGGGTGGATCACCTGAGGTCAGGAGTTCGAGACCAGCCTGGCCAACATGGTGAAACCCTGTCCCTACTAAAAATGCAAAAATTAGCCAGGCATGGTGGCAGGACCCTGTAATCCCAGCTACTCGGGAGGCTGAGGTGGGAGAACTGCTTGAACCTGGGAGATGGAGGCTGTAGTGAGCTGAGATCTCGCCACAGCACTCCAGCCTGGGCAACAGAGCGAGACCTCATCTCTTAAAAAAAACTGTAAGGAGCTATAATTAAACTTGGAATGTGCAGATGTTCTCACTAAAGGTAGGGGTTATTGGTGCTATTAAAGACCATTAATCTTTTAATCTAAGCCTGTTCATTAAGGTTATCTTTAAGTAAAGTGGGCTTCACTCTTAGGGCATCTGGACATCCTGCAGGCTTGGTAGGAGGTGTTCTGTATGGCCATAAATATTCTGTAATTATAATTGGTGGTCAGCTTGGGATGTAGCTATTTTCAGACCATAAGCATTAACCTTATAGGTGCCTTGTGAGTGCCCAGCTATGCACTTTAAGATGTAGTCACTTGGGAGGCCGAGGTGGGCAGATCACTTGAAGCCAGGAGTTTAAGACCAGCCTGGCCAACATGGAGAAACCCCGTTTCTCCTAAAAATACAAAAACTAGCCAGGCACGGTGGCACATGCCTGTGATCCCAGCTAGTGGAAGACTGAGGCATGAGAATCGCTTGAACCTGGGAGGTGGAAGTTGCAGTGAGTCAAGATTGCACCACTGCACTTCAGCCTGGGTGACAGAGTAAGACTCTGTCTCAAAAAAAAAAAAAAAAAAAAAAAAGAGAGAGAAAAAAAGATGTAGTCACTTTAGTCATGATTTATTAAACCAGAAGTTCCTCTCTCTAACAGGTGCTGCTTCTTTTTAAAAACAAATTTTATATTTCTTTTAGAGATGGTATCTTGCTGTATTGTCCAGGCTGGAGGGCCGTGGCTGTTAACAGGTGAAATTCCACTACTGATTAGCCCAGGAATTTTTAATCTGCTCTGTTTCCAACCTGGGTCAGTTCACCCCTCCTTAGGCAACCTGGCAGTCCCCACTCTGGGGAGGTCACCACATTGATGCCAAACTTAGTGCAGACACCTCATCATAGAGCACTATAGCCCAGAACTCCTGGGCTCAAGTGGTTCTCCTGAGATGGACAGGAGGCAGGGAAATACTGGGTAGAAGAGGGCAGTTCCCTGGCAAAAGCCCCACCCTCAAGCCTGGAAACCTGTGACCCTAAATGGGAACAGGCATTCCTGTTTTCACACCCAAATGTTGACTTTTGGCCTGCCGTACCCACCCAATCCTGTACCCATATAAACGCTAAACCCCAGGCTCCATGAGCAGAATAGCTGCTGGGTGGCAGAGCAGTAAGGCGAAGAAAGAGAAGAGAAGGAGCGTCTGAACGTCAAGAGGAGTTCAGCTGGGGATGGCCAAACTCCAGGGGAAGATCATCTTCTCACTACATCCCCTTTCCAGCTCCCCATCCATCCCACTGAGAGCCACCTCCATCAGTCAATAAAATCCCTGCATTCACCATCCTTCAAGTTCACATGACCCGATTCTTCCTGGATGCCAGACAAGGACCCGGGTACTAAGAGGACAGGGTGTAAAAAGCTGTCTGACTCTCCACTAAACTGGTTAACGCTTAGCTGTCTGGGGATGGCAACTGCTAAAAGGGTATTCATTCTAACACTTCCCTAGAGGCTACTGATACTGAAGTGCTGGGAAGGAAAGAGCATGGTCCTTTTAAATGATATGGAAGTGGGGAATGGAAGGGCTGGGTAGAGGAGGGCATGGTGCCTGGCTAGGACTCTACCCCCACAGACCTAGGTGAGGACAGGCACATCTGTCTTTGTGCCCAAATGTTGCATTTTCCAAGACCACTCTGGCCTGCCACACCCCCATCCTGTGCCTATAAAAACCCCTGAAACCCTAGCAGTCAGATACACAAGTGGCTGGACATTGTGAGGAACACATTGGTGGAAAAAGACACAGGTGGCTGGACGTTGAGAGGACATCGAGGGGAGCACTCTGGCGGAAGAGCACACCAACAGATGCCAGCATGCCGCAGGCCATTGACCAGCAGAATGACACAGAGTTTGGCTGGGGCAGTCAGAGGAGAGCCCAGGTCCCTGAGCTGCCTGACTCCAGGAAAAAGCCATCTCCCTTCTGGCTCCCCCATCTGCTGAGAGCTACTTGTACTCAATAAAACCTTGAACTCATTCTCCAAGCCCACATGCGATCCAGTTCTTCCAGTACACCAAGGTAAGAAACTCCGGGATACAGAAATCCCTCTGTCCTTGTGATAAGGAAGAGAGTCTAATTGAGCTAACACAAGCCACCTGCAGATGGCTAAATTAAAAAAGCGCCCTGTAACACATGCCCACTGGGGCTTTAGGAGCTATAAACACTCACCCCTACACACTGCCATGAGGTTGCAGCCCCACAACCTGCCCGTCTGTATGCTCCCCTAGAGGTTTGAGCAGTGGGGCACTGAAGAAGCAAGCCACTCCCCTGTCACACGCCCTGTGAGGGGGACAAGGGAACTTTTCCTGTTTCACTACTATGCGGCTGGAGCCCAAAAGCACTCATCCCAGCTCCTGCACCTGTCTGTCTGCATGTTTCCCCCTCTTGTAAGGGGTTTGAGTACATGGTGGCCAAGCAAACAGGCCACACCCTTGTTGCAAGTCCCGCGAGAGGTTCAGAGAACTCTCCCGTTTCACTCCTGCCTCAGGCCTCAGCCACCACAGTAAGTGGAACTCTATACCTCCACCTCGCCTGGCTGGGTGGAGCCTCTAAACTCAGGATTCTGCCTTGAGCTGTGGCTCTCCCCTCAGGTTGACAGGGTCCAGAGCAAAACCTACGGAAGAAGCTGCAGAGGCCAGGTGGAGGGAAGGATGCTGAACTGGAGGAGGCCAGGAAATTATGAGGTGGGTGAGTTGGCATCATCTTCAGGTTGGTCTGTGTGGGCCACTGAGCCCAGAGTTTTCATGCTTGCCCCCTGAAATCCTAATTTTATCTTAGAGCATGTGTTTTGCAAGGAAGGTCCAATGGGCAGTGGAGCATGCCTGGGGCTTGGAGTCTCTGTTCCTGCACTGTCTGCCTCCCAGGGCCTCTCAAGGACTGTTCCTAGCTGCCTCCTGTGCCTGAGTCTGACCCAGCTCCCCCTGGCCACCTGCCCTGGGATCCTGGCTGTCCTCAGCCTGAGTCTGCGACAGGATATGTGGTAGAGGCGTGATGTCTGTGTTTCTGTGTTTTGCCTTCGCTCTCTGCCCCATGGGGGACTGAGTGCAGGAGTGGAAACAGTGGAGCCAGGTGTGCTGGGTGTGGCATCTCCGGGTGAGGGTAGGTGATGGCCACCCCCTCCCCATGCTGGCTCTTCCTGGTGTGCTTGCAGGAACCTGGTGAGGGTTCTTGCTCATCCCCTCATCTAAGTGCCAAGTGCATGGGTGCAGAGGTTGCAGTCCCTTTGGTTCTCTGTCCGTGTGGGTTTGGGAGGCAGGCCCTGGGAAGGGGAGATCGACTTCCCCGTTCTTGTCAGTCACTTGTTTATTTTGGACTGGGCTCTGCAAGTTCTACCCAGGCCTGGTTAGCATCAAGGAAGACTGGTAGCTGGGGCTCCAGTGGAGGAGCAAGCAGGGCTGTGGGAGATGGGAAGTTTGGAAAAGGCGAAAGGCAGAGCCCAGAAGGGCTGGGCCTTCCTGGTCCGGGGCTGCAGGTGCTGGGGAAGTGAAGATCCTGCACAGGTGGTCACGATGAGGAAAAGCCAATAAGCAAAGGGCCAGGCAGGCTTAGAGAACACTGACAGAGGGCTCAGTGATTAGAGGGTTGCTTTCAGGGCTCTGCTGAAAGGCTGAGAAGCAGCGGGCATCCGGGGAGAATGGATCAGGTGAGAGGAGTTGACTGAGTGGGTCCACAGTGGGGATCAGGACGTGGTGAGGACATCCCCTTCACCTTGAAGTTACGGCTCCTGCAGAGGGAGGGAGGGAGGCAGAGAGGGTGCCTGGGGCTGGAGATGTCAGGCTGAGCATTCTGCATGGAACTTTGGTGGGACATTCTTCGGTGCCATCCAGTTCCCCTCCCCTTGTGCTGGCTGGTCACTGTGAAAGCTAAGCGAATTCCGTTCCCCAAGAAGAGGACATAATTCTTGTGAATCCTAAAGGTGGTAAGAACAGGAAATATGATTACATTTTTTAAAGTTTGGATTAATTTATGAAGGACTTGAAACTGACCCAGTAGTTCTACACATTTATTTACTTATTTAACATAGAAATTGACCCTCTTGGTCTTAAAGCCTGAAACTTAATATTTATCTGAGGTCTTTCCTCAGGAAAGGACCCCCAGGCCTCTGAAAAAGTATCAGAGAACTGAAACTCACCAGATCTTTGCATGCAGTAAGACTCCAGGCCTCTCATTCATCATGATTGCTTCTTTACTGAGTTCCTGTTTTCTCATACATTGTTACATTTCTTCCCTGCTACGGAAGAAACCTATGGAAGGAGCTGCTGAGGCCAGGTGGAGGGAAGGATGCTGGGCTGGAGGAGGCCAGGAAATTATGTACGTTGTTACATTTCTTCCCTGCTATATAAACTCCTAATTTTAGTGGTCAGAGAGATTGATCTCTCATTTCCTCAGCTGTAGCACCTGATTATCGCCTTCTTCCTTGGCAAGAATGGTCATCTCAGTGATTGGCTTTCTGTGCAGGGAACAGCAGGACCTAGACGGAACCCCTGGTGTTTTGGTGATAGACTTAAGAGCATAGGGTCCCAAAGAGTGCCAGTGATACACCTGAGGTGTCAACCTCACCCCTTTTTAGAGTTGGTGGCATGGAGGACAGCCGGTTGGTTTCTACAGGGCCCTGTCCCTCAGAGCTTCTGTTCGTGACTGTGTCTAGAGATGGCCAATGCAGCAATCCACGTGTTTCCGAGTCACTTTGTCGCATGACCCAATGGCTGCTATTTGCTCCTCCTCCTCAATCGTCGCAGAATAATAGTTGTCTTCTTGAGAAGATTAAGTGAATATTTTCTCCCAACCCAATTGCATAATGCAGCACAGATGTCAAGGCAAATAACTTTGATTCAGAACAAGTTCAGCTATCTGCTTTGCTCTGTCTGCTGGTTTCATGTTTTCAAGATGATTCACATTAACTCATCTTTCTTTCCCATATGTCCAGACTTGTGTTTTACAACACCAGACGGGGATACTAATTAAACTTTACAGTTCGCTGCAGCGTGCGTAAACTGAGATTGGTAATGACAGGCCTGGCAGTAATCAATATATCTGCTGCACTTGTAATGATTTAACGCGAGTGCCATGGTTACTGCTTGGAATAAAAGTGAATAAGCTCTACTGTAAATTTAATTTAGGGGAGTTATAACTTGATCACTCAGAAATATATTCTAGCAGCTCCTTGTATTTTTGACAAAGCCCAGGGCGTGCTTCTAGCAAGATCTGTGATTTAACCAGGAACATTTAATTTACAATGAGGTATATAATAGGTGACATCTGCCCCCTGGCCCAGCTTCAGAAAAACCAGCAGAAGGCTGTGGACAGCCATACAGAAGTCAGAAGTAATAAACTAGATATATACAGCAATTTTAAATCTCATATCAACCCTAGTTAAAAAAATTATTTCACATTTATTGTAAGTTATTCCATCCATGAATTAGAAGTCAAACTCTAGCAAAGTCACGTTCAGGCCAGTTCAGAGTAGAGATAGCTTCTCTGAAACTGCATTCAGGGGTAGTGAGGTGTCATTTCTGCTCCACATCCTTGAAAAGGGTTTGGTGTGTGTTACTTTGCAGAATGGGAGGGAAAGCCTCTGACCTTTGTCCTTTAATTTCCTTCAGTTCTGTAATATGAGGAACATTATTGCATTTAAACGAACAGAAATGCTGTACTGCAAGCTCTCCTTTCACATTGTCTTTGCCCACTTACTAATATTGATTGATTGATTGACTGTATTAGCTGTTACATTTCCTGCCATACAGCCATGCCTCTACCCTTTGCATTCCTGATTTAGTTGTGCTACCTGCAACCAGCCTCTTGTATTCTCTCTTGTGCTCTCTCTTTCTCTCTCTCTCAGTTCCCCTAAGGGGCTAGGAGTTGAGTTGATGATACTTTTCAGAATATGGCATTTTATCAATAGGCTATGCAAGGTCTCTCTTGCTTTATTTTATTTATATCTCAACCCCACTCCCATTCCTTCTCCCCTCTAGATAATGACTATATTTTATTTTATATATAACATATTTCAGAAGGATATGTACATATACATATCCTAAATTTTTCAGGTATCTATAGTTCTGTGTACGTTTTTAACTTTTAATAATTTACATTATTTTATGACTTTTTGTTTCTTGGTTTATTCACTTTGTACTGTATTTTTAAGATAGAAGATTTAATATTGCTGTGTATGTATCTACTTTATTATAATGGCTTCTGACCTCTGTATGATTTTGCATAGCACGTGTCTACCTTATTTTACATAAACCTTGGGTGTCTACAACTCCCGGTTATCACTGACAGTCCTATGTGTGTCTCATACCTTTCCCCTTATGGACCTTTGCAGGAACTTCTCTGGGGAATTACCCTAGGGTTGGGTTTCTGTTCATTAAAAAAGATTGTTTTAAAGCTATAATTTATGGAGCGCTTACTATGTCAGGCACTGTTCTAAGCACTTTATAGGTATTGACTAATTTAATCTTTACAATAACCCGACGTGGTAAGTTACATCATTATCCCCATTTTGCAGAAAAAATAAAGCCAAAAAAGATCAAGAAGCTAGTAAGTGGTAGTGCAGAGTTTCAAAAACTGTGATGCTGGCTAGATGTGGTGGCTCATGCCTGTAACTCCATCACTTTGGGAGGCCGAGGTGGGTGGATCACCCGAGTTCAGGAGTTCAAGACCAGCCTAACCAATATGGTGAAACCCCGTCTCTATTAAAAATACAAAAATTAGCTGGGCGTGCTGGCGGTTGCCTGTAATCCCAGCTACTTGGGAGGCTGAGGCAGGAGGATGGCTTGAACCCGGGAGGTGGAGGTTGCAGTGAGCCGAGATTGCACCACTGCACTCCAGCCTGGGTGACAGAGCGAGACTCTGTCTCAAAAAAAAAAAAAAAAAAAAAAAAAACTGTGATGCTGTACTTACATTCAAATCACTGCTACACTCACCACCGAGGTGAGCAGCCTCGAACATGACTTTTACCCAGCAGTGGGTTCATTAAGTTGCAACATATGTATGCATGTGTGTGTGTGTGTATGCGGGTGTGTTTATGTGTGCATATGTGTCTCTCTCTATAAAATTCTACTTACTACTGCCGCATGAATTTCCTCAATGGTTATACCCCATTTACTTTCCCTCCCAAAGAGCAACAGGGAGTTCACTATCCCCACATTCTCCACCAACACTTATCATAGACTGTACAATAATTATTCAGCTGTGCACATTTTGTATCTTTTGAGTTTCTTTCAGCTATAGTTTTTAGTGTTTTATCTGATTGTTCTTTACAACTGCTGTTTCTTGCTTTGTTGAATATTTTTTCTTCTGGGACGATATTTTTAAACTTGTTTAGATTTTTGCATCTGTCCCCATAATGCCAGTTCAAGTACTGGCTGCTCAATATGTTTCATTTCTAGCAGTTATCTTTCCCAAATGCCTGGTGTTTCCTTTTCCCTCTGTGAGCTCATTTTCCCCTGGAGGTGTTAGCCATGATCCCTCAGGAGGACAGGTGCAGTTCCTGGTGAGTTCAAGGCAGGAGGAAGTCCTGCTGCAGAGCAGGGATCCTGTGGTTTGGAGTCTGGATGGATTTCCCTCACTCGTGCCCCTCAACCAAGCTGATTTTAATCAGCTCCTACACTGCCCCCCAACCTTTTTGTTTTCTTGAGACAGAGTCTCACTCTGTCGCCCAGGCTGGAGTGCAGTAGCGCGATCTTAGCTCACTGCAACCTCCGCCTCCCAGGTTCAAGTGATTCTCGTGCCCCAGCCTCCAGAGTAGCAGAGTAGCTGGGATTACAGGAGCCCACAACCATGCTCGGCTAATTTTTTGTTTGTTTGTTTTTGGTAGAGACGGGGTTTCACCAGGTTGTCCAGGCTGTTCTCAAGCTCTTTACATCAAGTGATCCATCCACCTCAGGCTCCCAAAGTGCTGGGATTACAGGCATGAGCCACCGCGCCCAGCCTACACTGCCTTTTGATTGGCCTTGGGGATTGCTGAAGAACAGAGGAGCTGGGCTTTTAACTGGAATTTTATTTTATTTTTTAACATATATATATAGTTATACATTAAGTTCTGGGGTACATGTGCAGAACGTGCAGGTTTGTTACATAGGTATACACGTGCCATGGTGGTTTGCTGCAGCCATCACCCAGTCATCTACATTAGGTATTTCTTCTAATGCTATCCCTCCCCCAGCTCCCAACCCTGAGAGGCCCCGGTGTGTGATGCCCCCCACCCCTGTGTCCATGTGTTCTCATTGTTTAACTCCCACTTACGAGTGAGAACATGTGGTGTTTGGTTTTCTGTTCCTGAGTTAGTTTGCTGAGAATGATGGTTTCCAGCTTTGTCCATGTCCCTGCAAAGAACACGAACTCATCCTTTTTTATGGCTGCATAGTATTCCATGTTGTATATGTGCCACATAGAACATGAACTCATCCTTTTTTATGGCTGCATAGTATTCCATGTTGTATATGTGCCACATAGAACATGAACTCATCCTTTTTTATGGCTGCATAGTATTCCATGTTGTATATGTGCCACATTTTCTTTATCCAGTCTATCATTGATGGGCATGTGGGTTGATTCCAAGTCTTTGCTGTTGTGAACAGTGCTGCAATAAACATGTGTGCCTGTGTCTTTATAGTAGAATGATTTATAATCCTTTAGGTATATACCCAGTAATGGGGTTGCTGGGTCAAATGGTATTTCTAGTTCTAGATCCTTGAGGAATCACCACACTGTCTTCCACAGTGGTTGAACTAATTTACACTCCCACCAACAGTGTAAGAGTCTTCCTGTTTCTCCACATCCTCTCCAGCATCTGTGGTTTCCTGACTTTTTAATGATCACCATTCTAACTGGCATGAGATGGTATCCCATCATGGTTTTTATTTACATTTCTTTGATGACCAGTGATGATGAGCTTTTCTCATATGTCTGTTGGCTGCATAAATGTCTTCTTTTGAGAAGTGTCTGTTCATATCCTTTGCCCACTTTTTTATGGCATTGTTTTTTTCTTGTAAATTTTTTTTTTTTTTTTTGAGACGGAGTCTCGCTCTATTGCCTAGGCTGGAGTGCAGTGGCATGATCTCGGCTCACTGCAAGCTCCACCTCTTGGGTTCACACCATTTTCCTGCCTCAGCCTCCAGAGTAGCTGGGACTACAGGCGCCTGCCACCATGCCTGGCTAATTTTTTGTATTTTTAGTAGAGATGGGGTTTCACTGTGTTAGCCAGGATGGTCTCGATCTCCTGACCTCATGATCCGCCCACCTCAGCCTCCCAAAGTGCTGGGATTACAGGCGTGAGCCACCTCGCCCGGCCTCTCTTTTCTTCTTTATTAGTCTGGCTAGCGGTCTATTTTGTTGATCTTTTCAAAAAACCAGCTCGTGGATTCATATTTTTTGAAGGATTTTTCGTGTCTATCTCCTTCAGTTCTGCTCTGACCTTAGTTATTTGTTGTCTTCTGCTAGCTTCTGAATTTGTTTGCTCTTGCTTCTCTAGTTCTTCTTCTTTTTTTTTTTTTTTTTTTTTTGAGACAGAGTCTTGCTCTGTTGGCCAGGCTGGAGTGCAGTGGCACAATCTCGGCTCACTGCAACCTCTGCCTCCCAGGCTCAAGCAATTCTCCTTTCTCAGACTCCTGAGTAGCTGGGATTACAGGTGTGTGCCACCACGCCTAGCTAATTTTTGTATTTTTAGTAGAGACGGGGTTTCACCATGTTGGCCAGGCTGGTCTTGAACTCCTGACCTCAGGCAATCTACCCACTTTGGCCTCCCAAAGTGCTGGGATTACAGGTGTCAGTCACCGTGCCTGGCTTTCCCTAGTTCTTTTAATTGTGATGTTAGGGTGTCGATTTTAGATCTTTCCTGCTTTCTCTTGTGACCATTTAGTGTTATACATTTCCCTCTACACACTGCTTTAAATGTGTCCCAGAGATTCTGGTACATTGTGTCTTTGTTCTCATTGGTTTCAAAGACCATCTTTATTTCTGCCTTCATTTCGTTATTTACCCAGTAGTCATTCAGGAGCAGGTTGTTCAGTTTCCATGTCATTGTGTGGTTTTGAGTCAGTTTCTTAATCCTGAGTTCTCATTTGATTGCGCTTTGGTCTGAAAGACTGTTTGTTATGAGTTCCATTCCTTTGCATTTGCTGAGGAGTGTTTTACTTCCAATTATGTGGTCAGTTTTAGAATAAGTGCGACGTGGTGCTGAGAAGAACGTGTATTCTGTTGATTTGGAGTGGAGAGTTCTGTAGATGTCTATTAGGTCTGCTTGGTCCAGAGCTGGGTTCAAGTCCTGGATATCCTTATTAATTTTCTGTCTCATTGATCTAATATTGACAGTGGGGTGCTAAAGTCTCCCAATATTACTGTGTGGGAGTCTAAGTGTTTTTGTAGGCCTCTAAGAACTTGCTTTATGAATCTGCGTGCTCCTGTATTGGGTGCATATGTATTTAGGATAGTTAGCTCTTCTTGTTTCATTGATCCCATTACCGTTATGTGTAATGCCCTTCTTCGTCTCTTTTGATCTTTGTTGGTTTAAAGTCTGTTTAAACAGAGACTAGGATTGCAAATCCTGCTTGTTTGCTTTCCATTTGCTTGGTAAATATTCCTCTATCCCTTTATTTTGAGCCTATGTTTTTCTTTGCATGAGATGGGTCTCCTGAATACAGCACACTGATGGGTCTTTTTTTTTTTTTTTTTTTTTTTGAGATGGAATTTCGCTCTGTCACCCAGGTTGGAGTGCAGTGGCGTGATCTCGGCTCACTGCAAGCTCTGCCTCCCGGGTTCATGCCATTCTCCTGCTTCAGCCTCCTGAGTAGCTGGGACTACAGGCACCTGCCACCACGCCTGGCTATTTTTTTTTGTGTGTGTGTTTTTTAGTAAAGACGGGGTTTCACCATGTTAGCCAGAATGGTCTTGATCTCCTGACCTTGTGATCCACCCTCCTTGACCTCCCAAAGTGCTGGGATTACAGGCATGAGCCACTGCACCTGGCCCACAATGGTCTTGACTCTTTATCCTATTTGCCAGTCTGTGTCTTTTAAATGGGGCATTTAGCTCATTTACATTTAAGGTTAATGTTGTTATGTGTGAATTTGATCCTGTCATTATGATGCTAGCTGGTTATTTTGCCCATTAGTTGATGCAGTTTCTTCATTGCACAGATGGTCTTTACAATTTGGTATGTTTTTGCAGTGGGTGGTACTAGTTTTCATTTCCATGTTTAGTGCTTCCTTCAGGAGCTCTTGTAAGGCAGGCCTGGTGGTGACAAAATCTCTCAGCATTTGCTTGTCTGTAAAGGATTTTATTTTTCCTTTGCTTACGAAGCTTAGTTTGACTGGATATGAAATTCTGGGTTGAAAATTCTTTTCTTTAAGAATGTTGAATATTGGCCCCCACTCTCTTCTGGCCTGTAGGGTTTCTGCTGAGAGATCCGCTGTTAGTCTGATGGTCTTCCCTTTGTGGGTAACCTAACCTTTCTCTGTAGTTGCCATTAACATTTTTTCCTTCATTTCAACTTTGGTGAAACTGATGATATGTGTCTTGGGGTTGCTCTTCTCCAGGAGTATCTTTGTGGTGGTCTCTGTATTTCCTGAATTTGAATGTTGGCCTGTCTTGCTTGGTTGGGGAAGTTGTCCTGGATAATATCCTGAAGAGTGTTTTCCAACTTGGTTCCATTCTCCCTGTCACTTTCAGGTACACCAATCAAACATAGTGTGTCCAGAATTTGTGGGTTCTTGGTCTCACTGACTTCAAGAACGAAGCTGCGGACCCTCACGGTGAGTGTTACAGCTCTTAAGATGGTGCATCTGGAGTTTGTCCCTTCTGATGTTCAGATGTGTTCGGAGTTTCTTCCTTCTGGTGGGTTCGTGGTCTCGCTGGCTCAGGAGTGAAGCTGCAGACCTTCGCGGTGAGTGTTACAGCTCATAAAGGCAGTGTGGACCCAAAGAGTGAGCAGTAGCAAGATTTATTGCAAAGAGCGAAAGAACAAAGCTTCCACGGTGTGGAAGGGGACCCGAGCGGGTTGCCAATGCTGGCTCGGGCAGCCTGCTTTTATTCTCTTATCTGGCCCCACCCACATCCTGCTGATTGGTAGAGCCCAGTGGTCTGTTTCGACAGGGCGCTGATTGGTGCGTTTACAATCCCTGAGCTAGACACAAAGGTTCTCCACGACCCCACCAGATTAGCTAGATACAGAGTGTCCACACAAAGGCTCTCCAAGGCCCCACCAGAGTAGCTAGATACAGAGTGTCGATTGGTATATTCACAAACCCTGAGCTAGACACAGGGTGCTGATTGGTGTGTTTACAAACCTTGAGCTAGATACAGAGTGCAGTTGGTGGATTTACAATCCCTGAGCTAGACATAAAGGTTCTCCAGGTCCCCACCAGACTCAGGAGCCCAGCTGGCTTCACCCAGTGGATCCCGCACTGGGGCTGCAGGTGGAGCTGCCTGCCAGTCCCGCGCCGTGTGCCTGCACTCCTCAGCCCTTGGGTGGTCAATGGGACTGGGTGCCGTACAGCAGGGGGCAGTGCTCGTTGGGGAGGCTCGGGCTGCACAGGAGCCCACGGAGGGGGTGGGAGGCTCAGGCATGGTGGGCCGCAGGTCCTGAGCCCTGCCCCACGGGAAGGCAGCTAAGGCCCAGTGAGAAATCGAGCGCAGCGCCGGTGGGCCGGCTCTGCTGGGGGACCCAGTATACCCTCCGCAGCTGCTGGCCCGGGTGCTAAGCCCCTCATTGCCCGGGGCCGGCAGGGCCGGCTGGCTGCTCCGAGTGCGGGGCTGCCAAGCCCACGCCCACCCAGAACTCCAGCTGGCCTGCAAGCGCCGTGCGCAGCCCCGGTTCCCGCTTGCACCTCTCCCTCCACACCTCCCTGCAAGCTGAGGGAGCCGGCTCCGGCTTTGGCCAGCCCAGAAAGGGGCTCCCACAGTGCAGCGGTGGGCTGAAGGGCTCCTCAAGTGCCGCCAAAGTGGGAGCCCAGGCAGAGGAGGTGCTGAGAGCGAGCGAGGGCTGTGAGGACTGCCAGCACGCTGTCACCTCTCAGTAGGTTTGGTCTTTTCACATAGTCCCATATTTCTTGGAGGCTTTGTTCATTTCTTTTCATTCTTTTTTCTCTCATCTTGTCTTCTCGCTTAATTTTATTGAGTTGACCTTCAATCTCTGATATCCTTTCTTTTGCTTGATCGATTCGGCTTTTGATACTTGTGTATGCTTCACGAAGCTCTTGTGTTGTGTTTTTCAGCTGCATCAGGTCATTTATGTTCTTCTCTAAACTGGTTATTTTAGTTAGCAATTCGTCTAACCTTTGTTCAAGGTTCTTAGCTTCCTTGCATTGGGTTAGAACTTGCTCCTTTAGCTCGGAGGAATTTGTTGTTGCCCACCTTCTGAAGCCTACTTCTGTCAATTCGTCAAATTTATTCTCCATCCACTTTTTTTCCTTTGCTGGCGAGGAGCTGTGATCCTTTGGAGAAGAGGCGTTCTTGTTTTTTGAATTTTCAGCCTTTTTATGCTGGTTTCTCCCCATCTTTGAAGATTTATCTACCTTTCATCTTTGATGTTGGTGACCTTCGGATGGGGTCTCTTGAGTAGACATCCTTTTTGTTGATGTTGATACTATTCCTTCTGTTTGTTAGTTTTCCTTCTAGCAGTCAGGCCCCTCTACTGCAGGTCTGCTGCAGTTTGCTGGAGGTCCACTCCAGACCCTGTTTGCCTGGGTATCACCAGTGGAAGCTGCAGAACAGCAAAGACTGCTGCCTGTTCCTTCCTCTGGAAGCTTTGTCCCAGAGGGGCACCCTCCAGATGCCAGCCAGAGCACTCCTGTATGAAGTGTCTGTCGGCCCCTACTGGGAGGTGTCTCCCAGTCAGGATACATAAGTGTCAGGGACCCACTTGAGGAGGCAGCCTGTCCCTTAGCAGAGCTTGAACACTGTGCTGGGAGATCCACTGCTCTCTTTAGAGCTGTCAGTCAGGGACATTTAAGTCTGCTGAAGCTGTGCCCACAGCTGCCCTTTCCCCCGGGTGCTCTGTTCCAGGGAGATGGGGGTTTTATCTGTAAGTCCCTGACTGGGGCTGCTGCCTTTTTTTCAGAGATGCCCTGCCCAGAGAGAAGGAATTAGAGAGGCAGTCTGGCTGCAACGGACTTGCTGAGCCACAGTGGGCTCCACCCAGTTCAAACTTTACGGTGACTTTTTTTACACTGTGAGGGTAAAACTGCCTACTCAAGCTTCAGCAATGGCGGACGCCCTTCCCACCACCAAGCTTGAGCGTCCCAGGTCAACCTCAGACTGATGTGTTAGCAGCAAGAATTTCAAGCCAGTGGACCTTAGCTTGCTGGGTTCCACGGGGGTGGGACCTGCTGAGCCAGACTACTTGGCTCCTTGTCTTTAGCCCCATTTCCGGGGGAGTTAATGGTTCTGTCTCACTGGTGTTCCAGGTGCCACTGGAGTATGAAAAACAAAACAAACAAACAAAAAACTGCAACTAGCTTGGTATCTGCCCAAATGGCTGCCCAGTTTTGTGCTTAAAACCCAGGGCCCCTGGTGGCTTAGGAACCAGAGGGAATCTCCTGGTCTGCCAGTTGTGAAGATCATGGGAAAAGCACAGTATCTGGGCCAGAGTGCACCATTCCTCCCAGTATAGCCTCTTATGGCTTCCCTTGGCTGGGGGAGGGAGATCCCCCACCCCTTGTGCTTCCTGGGTGAGGCGATGCCACACCCTGCTCTGGCTCACCCTCTGTGGGCTGCACTCACTGTCCAACCAGTCCCAATGAGATGAACCAGGTACCTCAGTTGGAATTGCAGTTGGAAATGCAAAAACCACCCGTCTTCTGCTTTGATCTCACTGGGAGCTGCAGACTGGAGCTGTGCCTATTCGGTCATCTTGCCAGCAAATCCTTTTGACTTATATTTTAAGTTCAGGGGTACAAGTGCAGGTTTGTTACATGGATAAACTTGTGTCATGGAGGTTTGTTGCACAGATTATTTCATCACCCAGGTATTAAGCCTAGTACCCATTAGTTATTTTTCCTGATCCTCTCCCTCCTCCCACCCTCCACCCTCTAAAGGTACCCAGTGTGTGTTGTTCCCCTCTGTGTGTCCATATGTTCTCATCATTTAGCTCCTACTTATAAGTGAAACTGTGGTATTTGGTTTTCTGTTCCTGTTAACTGGAAGGGATGCGCCTGTCTTGTTTTCTAGTCAATTCCTAGAGTCTTGAATGGTGCCAAGCACGTAGGGGATACTCCATAAATATTTATGAAATGAATTCCATAGTCTTGATTCCCCTTTGAAATCCATATGTTAGGGTAATTATTGAAGTAATCTCAGTCATTTTGGGAAGATATATGCATGCTTGTATATATATATTTATATATAAAAAGTCTGTATTTAATTTTTTTAACCTGCAACAAATCATACTAGGTGCTCTTTGGAGTGTTTTTTTCCTTTATTTGTCCTAAATGTGCCTTCTTTCTGGCTTCAAAGGTTGCTCTTTGCCCTGAGGTCTTAGGGAGCAAGCTTGCACTTTCCCTCTCTACATCTTTCATGACTTAAAAGGTTGCCCCTGTATCCCATTTTAGCCTTCCTAGACTTAAGAATTTTATCTTGCAAATTTCAATTTGTGAATACAAAATAAGTTCATCTCTGAGTTTCACCTGTCAGGTTTTAATTTAAATCTTATAATTTTACATTTATATTTTTAAAAGAAATGACTTTCTCATGTTAGGTCAGAGAACTGAAAAAGATAAGCTATTTGTTATTTTCTTTTGGTGAAGACTTGGCATAGAGTTTAGTTCCTGTCCCCAGAGACTTATTTACTTACCATCTATCCAGAAGATGAAGTAAGATGAATGGAAAGATCATGAAAACATGATGAGAAAAGAAAACTTGCATTTTTTTGTGGCAAAACTGCTTTGAGCAGTGGTCCTTTGTAGCATGTTGGGTGTGTTTGAACAAGAGGGGGTTGCTGGTAGAACAAAATCTTCAGGTGCAGGGATTATTCAGCTCATGGTTTTCAAAGTGACCAAAAAAAGGTAAACACATGCTAATGGTTACTCACATAATACTTTCTTTAAAGAGTTAGCTTTTGTACCTGAGTTAATTTGGGAGGATATGAACCCCTTCTTGAAAAATAGCCCAGTTATTTCCTCTTTTCTATACTTTGTTGTCTGTTATGCCATGTTGTAACTGGCAAAGTGTAAAACTAGACATATTTTCTTCAATATAACTTCCTACTTGAAACCCAGGG
This sequence comes from Homo sapiens, assembly GCF_000001405.40. Taxonomy (NCBI): domain Eukaryota; kingdom Metazoa; phylum Chordata; class Mammalia; order Primates; family Hominidae; genus Homo; species Homo sapiens. The sequence continues at coordinate 206,621 of NT_187564.1, read as the reverse complement.
CCCTGGTGGCATAGGCACCAGGGGCAGTCTCTTGGTCTGCCAGTTGCAAAGACCGTGAGTTTCCTATAACCTCCTCTCCTACCCGTCTCTGCTCCCCCACACCCATTAATTAAACAAATACAGTTGTCCCTCAGTATCCATGGGGAATTGGTTCCAGGACTCCCTGCAGATACCAAAATCCATGGATGCTCACGTCCCTTATATAAAATGGTACATATTTGCATATAACCTAGATACATCCTCCCATCTAATTTAAATAATCTCTAGATTACTTATAATACCTGATACAATGTAAATGCTATGTATATAGTATACAGAAGGTCCCTGATTTATGATGGTTTGGCTTATGGTTTCTTGATTTTATGATGATGTAAAAGTGATACACATTCAGTATATTTCTTGACTTGGATGGGGCTATGACCCGGATAAACCCAGGGTAAATAAAAAATATCTTAAGTGGAAAACACACTTCTGCTTACAATATTTTCAATTTATGATGTGTTTATCAGCATGTAACCAATTCCATCATAAATTGAGAATCACTTGTACTCTTTTAATTTGTATTTTTTTGCATTGTTAATTTAAACTTTTTTGACTATTTTTGATCTGAGGTCAGTTGAATCTGCATGAGGAACCCATGGATATGAAGGGCGTTTATTTGTACAAAAGAAAGTTGCTATCCTCCTGGAACATATGTATGTATACAGAGTTTATTGTTGCTGGGACAGAGAAAGGAAGTCAGCATATTGTGGCCAAAACCTTTTGTTGGCGATGTTAAACCCTCAACTTGCTGACTCATCTTTTTAAAATTTGTTAAGAACTTTCATGGTGCAGATTTTCTTTTCTCAAGGGACTTGATGACATTCTCTCTGTACCTGTTGGATCACATTCGCGAAGCATTCATGACCAATCTTTTTGACGCTTGATGCTTTCTGAACATACTGCAGTGCAATTGCTATTGATTGGCCTTGGGGATTGCTGAAGAACAGAGGACTTGGGCTTTTAACTGGAATTCACATTTATTTGGTATACGTTTAGATGCCTCACTGAGAATTGATTAAAAGGAAATGGCTTCCCAATAGTCATGGTCATTGAAGACCAGTGTGGAGGCTAAGCAACTTCATCTTGAATGTGAATCTGCTATGTTGAGTTCTGATTAACTCCAGTTCCTCCAGGAATGCCTCTAAGGTTTTTATTTTCTCTGTGATTCCTTATGTAAAGGCATGTACTTAACCATAAATCCCACCCTTAGGTCAAAACAACTCTGATGTTATCATACTTACTGTAAACCCTACCCTTAAGCAATTGTCTTACACATCCCTTCTTAAGTCTGTAGACCCTTTCCCTATGGTGGATAAGCCCTGGGTCCAGGGTGTGGGGGGCATGGGGGGGTAACAGTGCAGGCATTCATCATCTGTCTAGTGGCTGCCTGAGACATGGCCTCTGTTTGTAATTCCCTATGAAATGTTTCTTTCTGAGAAATTGGAATTCTCAGCCTCTTTCTTTGGCCTCTCAGCTTCCTTGGTTTGCAGGGGTGGTTTGCATAGAGCTGCTCGCTGCAGAACAACTAGCAAGTGAGAGTAATAACTTAGCTCTAAAAGCACACGGAGTGCATTTAGGAAGCTTCGCACCTCCGATGCATGCCGAGTCCTTGCTGTCTAGTTCCCTGGCTTGGATCCATGTGCCCACTATCCAGTGTTACTCCCTCATTCCAAATAAGGATCAGAATATATTCTGGAGATAACTGAACTCGAACCACATTTTATCAAGATGGGTGTAAACTAACCAAAGTCAATGTCTACTAAGCCACTTTAAGAAAAACTCCTCTTTTAACGGGGAGCTATTTGTGGTAGGAGGTTAACCATGGACGTACCCAAATCAGACCTTTTAGGAGTGACTATATCTCCACAACTTGTGGAAAGACGATATTCTCAGTAGGCTTATATTTCAGTGCTTGGAACTTAACTTTTGCTGAAGGTTGAAAATTGCTCTTAAGAGAGACAAGTGGTACAAAACACGAAGAATCGCTTTTAGGATAATTAAAACTACTTTGAATTTTTTATTTATCAATCTGGTTTCTAATATAATTTTAGTTAAATGAAAGACATTCACAAAGAATATTAGGCATACGTACATAATTTCCTTCTTTCATTCTAGTTTACATGCTGTTGCTTTTAGAGAGTGAAATTTTGTGTTATTTCACAGGGGATGGAATCCTGTTTGACTTTACAGAAAGAATATTTAGCCCAGCTTTTCACAGCACTAACCTCTGCAGTCACCACGCTCACTGAAAAAATTTAAAAAACCTGACAAAATAAAACTTAGTAAAATCTAGAACTGTTTCTTGGCCTACTTGAGAGGAACTTCCATATTTTCACAGCCATCTCCGAAAGCAGCAGTTGCTGTAAATTAACTGAGACTTGGAAATGGTGCAGACTGTCTTGGTAGAGCTGTTCTTATAGCACAATTTTATCTGGAAAATAAACTTGTAAATGCGTGCTGTATATTAATACATGTGTGCCCATATTTATTTTTATTATCTCCTGCCAGTCTTTGCTCAATGGGAGATGACAGACCAACTTCTCAACGTGATTTCCCCATTTCATTGAATGACATTTATATGCCACTTATGAAAAAAAATACTGCTGTGAAAGAAATGTACTTTAAAGTTTGCAGCACTACCATGCAGGGTACATGGAGAATAGGCATATAGCCACTAGGCTACATGAACACGTCACGTTTGTATTTTGTGTTGGCCTATGTATAAGCCAATCTAGCATGTTTGAGGGCATGTGTGAGAGTAGGTAAGGGAGCTGTAAGTTACATTCAGGTGGGAATTTAGGGCTTTCTGCACAAAAAATTCTAATTTCTCTGTCCTTTTGCTATGTTGCATCTCCCAGTGTTGACAGGTTAGTCTGCATGATTAATAACTGAGCAGCTGTAGAGCCATGCCAGTAAGTCTCCAATTCCTGAACGTGGCCACATTTGTCTTTTGATGTGACTTTCAACCACAAGCCACAAAGTAAGTCTTTCACTAGGCTCCGTTGACTTCAGTCTTTATATAAGGGTTTCAAGGTATTTTGCAGTCAAGAATCAATGGCACCTCGCAACTGTCTTATGAAGTAGGTAAAACAGCTCCATCTTAAATACGGGACAAAAGTTCGAGGACTTGACCAAGGTCACACAGGGAGGGTCCCACCAAGGCAGGGAGAGAGAAAGGGGATGCTGTCAGCTAATTCTCATGGTCCACTCTTAACCAAAACATCATTTAAAAAATGGGGCTGGCTCGGCACGGTGGCTCACACCTGTAATCCCAGCAATTTGCAAGGCCGAGGTGGACGGATCACTTGAGGTCAGGAGTTCGAGACCACCCTGGCCAACATGGTGAAACCTGGCTTCTACTAATAATACAAAAAAAAAAAAAAATTAGCTGGGTGTGATGGCGGGTGCCTGTAATCCCAGCTACTTGGGAGGCTGAGGCAGGAGAATCGCCTCAATGTGGGAGGAGGAGGAGGTTGCAGTGAGCCCGAGATTGCGCCAGTGCACTCCAGCCTGGGGGACAGAGCAAGACTCCGTCTCAAAACAAAACAAAAAACAACAAAAAAAAGCGGGGCGGGGGTAGGAGCCATTGGTTCTTAGCTGAAGTCAGCTGGGGACATTGTTACTGTTTGTTTCGCACTGGTTTAGGATCAGGTGGTTCTACTGGGACTAGCAATTTAGGACCTATCTTTGGCTGGCTTACTTGAATTCAATTTAATAATTGCTGCCCTTTTTTTGGGAAAATTGCTCAACAGGGTGGTGAAAAGAAAAAATGGGGGGTTTCAAATTCAGTGTTGTTTGGAGGCATGAGACATAAACGGGCCATTAAAACGTTTACTGCGTAAGAGCAGGGTATAATGTGGTGAGGAGAGGAAGAGAGAAAAAAGTAGGATAGAAAAGAACAGATTCCATCATAGAAGGAAAGAAAAGCTTCTTGACACAACCTGAACACTTGCATGTTCAAGTCCCACAGCTGTGTGCTTGTTCCTGAAGTGCTTCCAATGGCTTCGCCTGTGCCCAGCTCTCAGCCTGCATATGGTGGCCGCTCAGCAGATTTTCAAAAGTAACATTAAGACAGACTCTTTGGCTCATGCCAATGCTTTTTCTTGTGCCTCTGAATTCCTGCTCTTGTTAGTAAAGGATGCTTGTTTGTCAAATGCAGGGCAGTAGGACATTTTCTAGGAATGGCTCTCTAAATTCTTGTTTTCAGCTCTTTAATGAAAACTTTCATGTAACAAGTCTCTTTTTTTGAGCAGGTGGTTGAAAGCCACAAGGGGAAATACATTTTTAAATATTAAGAAGGGCCAGAAAATAATTTAACAACAAAATAGCTTTTTCAACCTCCTGGACCAGCTTTCTTGAGCTCTAGGGAATATGCTATTTTGAGAGCTTAGGATCTCACTAACCTTGCATTCATTCAAAGTCATCTCCTAGCTTTTTTCAAAACATCGACATTTGCTTCATACACAGAAGATGTTTCCTGCACAACTTTAAATCAGCCACCAACTTTCCCTGAAACTTTAAAACAGTCTATTTTTTGTCGTTGTTGTTGTCTATACATATTATTTAAAGAGGCTACTACCAGCATACTTGTGCTTGCTTGATAATGTATTGGAATGTAAGATGTCAAGATTTTGTGAGATGTGAATGACAAAGCAGGATTAGGCACTGAGAGCTTGGGCGGGAATGTCATGGTTATGGAGGCTGCACTGTGCTAGGCTATCCAAGGAGAGAGTTGGAAGAAAGACTTAATTCTTTTTCTTCACATAAACAGATTATTTACCATTTAAAATGTACTGAATATGGCCTTCATAAACAGATGTAGGGATTTTTGTTACACCCATAATCCCAAGGAGAGGTCAAGATTTCCAGCATTTATTTGGCACTTAGTTACTTAATACTTTATCCACCGTTTGGTTTCCTGTCTGATGGCCACATTGTAACCCTCTTGAAGGAAGACAGTGTCCTATATGTCTTAATTGATGGTGATATGGGAGAACCACTGATCCCTGCAGTCATTCCAGTGTCCTAGGTTTGAAATTTTGGTGAGAGGATTGGATCTCATTTTTCACCTTTTGTGGCAGGAAAAGGAGAGGGAGGAGAAAGGATGAGAACATTTTAGTAGCAGAAGCTGTTTTGGGTGGCTTTAATTCTCTACTCATTTTGGGAAAAAAGGGAAAGTGTTGAGACAATGCATAAAGAACAGAGCTATCATGGGAATTGCAAGAAATAATAAATTTCCATCTGGCATTATTTGGTAAGTGCAGAAGTAATACCTGTAAACCAGGTTTAAAAATCAGAAACACTTCTAAAACATCATGTTTAAAATTTGCTTTCAACAATACATAAAGTAACTCCTAATGGTAATCATCTTGGCTAAATAAAACAGCCTTTGCTTTCAATATGTCATTTGTAAATGTTACATTGTTCTGATATTTAGTGATATTAAGTATTTTTCCATTTTAAATGTATTTTATAGAAGAATGATTAAAACCTTTTAAAATTAAGGGTGTCCATGACAGTGCCTGAGCTCAACCAGCAATGGTAAAAGGGCATCAGGATTCCCTTTTGTTCTGTTACCTTGACTTGTATGGGAATTAACTGGTCCAATGTCTCCTTTGGAATGTGCTCTGTACTGGTGTAATGTGCCACTGGCAACTCTAGGTAATGTTTTCCATTACCCAAGAAACTGATGTGCTCCAATAAGTTAGGCACACTGAGAATCTTGAAAAAGAATGCATAATTCTAACAAACTAGAATTTCCATTTTATTCAGCCGGGCCATCAGAACAATAGCATCTATACCTTCGAAACCTCCTCTTAACCTCTCCCAGGCAAAGAAGGAAAAAGTGATCATATTGAATTCCTCAGAATGGTGGGATCTCAAGACTTTTTAGAAAGTGCTTATTAAGTATAAGAGGCTTGAAATATAATGATGATAAATGGTAGCCTTTCTGGAAATAATTTTTGTGTAATCTGTTTAAAAAGATTTTTTGGATGCATTGTCCCCATTTGTTTACAGGAAGTGTATTACTTTTAAATATAATCAATGAGGTATTTATTTGTTAAATAACTGGGTCAAGATTTCAGATTAAACTAAGAGGTGTGATTAACTACACTTCTCCATCCTCTGGGAAGCAACAGGTACCAGGTTTGTGATGAACCTGAGGTTCAAATGTGTCCGTCTTAGAAGAAAGATCCCTGAATCACAGCAGTGTGATTGGATGGAAAAACACGTGGAGTAGTTGATTTAAAATATGGCAGTGTTTTCCATATCATCCAGAGTAACAGCAATAATAACTTGACTTTATTGTGTTGTGTCCATTTACAGGACACTGTCTATTAGGATTGTGTCACAGGGGTGGAAAAACTACCAGAGATTTAAAGCAAAATAAGAAACGCAACCTAATTTATGCATTCACTAGAAATTATCCATATTTTTGCTATAACTAAACTATAAAAGAAAAAGAGCAAACAAATCATAACATCTGGCTCTAATTCCCCATTGAGGCGCTTATACATATATAAATCCAGTATGTTTCAGATAAAACAGGAAAAAATCTTTTGTAACAGCTGGTCACCATGGTATTGCAGCTGATAGTTACAGCTATTGGTCTAAGACTACATACGTGGAACAATATTAGCTTGTAGAATTCAATGAAAAATCAAACTACCTTCCCTGGTTCTTTAATGCCTCTCTCCAGTTGTGCTGATTGTGTCGTTACACACCAGGTGCCATGCACTCTCTTCCTTCAACTGCTGGTATCAGTCAGGAACCCCAGATGCCAGAGAGCTGGCATAGATTGAGCTCTGCTTAAAAACTGGCAAATAATAGGTTCTCTTTGCCCCTTTCTTTTCCGACTTATAGGACATCAAAGGAAATAGTATATAAACACGAACTAGTTTCTGTAACAGCCCATTAAGGTTGACTAGAAGCAAAAGGAAGAGAATGTTGGGGGCCATCTGTAGGTGCATTAGCTTTTCTCAAGAAAAAAAATACCCACGTTCTAAGGGCTCTTAAAAACGTAGAAAACTTGCCCTGTTACCACGGGTCTTTAGAACACCTCTAAACACACACAAAATAAGACAGATATTACCTACAAATTTCAACCATTGCTTAAACTCTAAAAGCATTTTTTGTATTATTTTGTTTTGATACAGAAGGGAAAACTCAGCTATAAAGAAATATTAAAAAGGTTTTTTTTTTTGTGATCAGTCTCAAGAATATTCCATTATATTCCATTGCCTGCCTCCCCCAACTTGTGCTGATATTTTAAGGATGTGCTCAAGAGTATGAAGCAGGGTGCTTTTGTCCCTTTCTCTCCTCCCTAGTAATTCCCTCCTCCCTATCCCATAGCCAAGTAGCCACCCCTCAAATGAGCCATTCCTTTTTGCTTTCATCAATGGTCTCTGTGAAGTTGGGGTCGTTGTTCATGATGGCGGCGTCCGCGCTCTCTGCCGACTCCGCCCCCTTTGCTTCGTTGGTATGGTAGGTGCCCTTGTGGCGGAACATGTACCGGATCAGGAAGACCAGGGTGCACAGGATGGTGAAAATCACCACAGCAATGACGCCTGACGGAGAAAGGAGAAGCACGAGAGGTTAGACAGGGCTTGGGAGTCCCTCCAACACTGACCCCACTTCACTACAGCTCCGTCAGACACAGCCCTCTCCCATATAAAACACAACCTCCAAAACAACAAAGATAACAAAAATGAAGTAAGATGTCTGTTTTTGTCCATGAAGGAGTAACAGGAAAAACAGGAGTAACTTGTCTTCCAGCCAAAAGTAACTAAAATACTGGACACAGTCTATGAAATGACAGTCTACAGACATTAGAAAACAGGCGGAAAGGAACCATGATGTCTGAGAACAGAGAAACAAAAAGGAGGAATCCTACATTTTTCCTAGTTTTCTGGCTGGCAGCGATTTTTGGACAGCAGTGTAGGGAGGGGCAGCACAAAAAAGCACAGTGGTTTCCCTGAATGGAGAGGGGAGATAGAGTGGGCGCGCGAGAGAGCTATGTATAGAAAGAACCCTAATAATCTGCACATAAGTCTCTCTGAATTTGTGGCCGAATAATACTAACATGTGCATGTACAGAATAAAAGTCCACAGGCCAGGCAAAAAACCAGAGCTCACGGAGGGCTGGGAGATGTTTATAGTCCAACAACCACACTGAAGAGACCTCATTGAACAATCAGAGCATTTAATACAGTTGATAGAATGGTCATGCTGAAGGTGTTTGCTAAAATAGGCCTAGAATAAAGACTACTCTAGCTCTGTCCTGAAAAAGCTTTAAAACACATCTAAATAACGTCAAGCTGCAGAGAAAAATAATTCAGAGAAAAAAAATGTAGCAAAATGTCACTTGACCAGAAGAAACATCAGTCAATTAGAAGGAGAGCCAGAAAGGACAGAGCATGGAATGAGCAGATGAGGACAGTACAATAGCTATTAGAAACCTGCACAGGGGTTTAAAGGAAAACATGATCAAAATGAGGGGAAAAAAATGAGACAACGTGGAACTTGTAGAGGTGAAACACACAATGTCTGAAATGAGCAGTGGCTCGCGCCTGTAATCCCAGCACTTTGGGAGGCTGAGGCGGGCGGATTACTTGAGGTCAGGAGTTTAAGACCAGCCTGGGCAACATGGTGAAACCCGGTCTTTTATACTAAAAGTACAAAAATCAGCCAGGCATGGTGGCACGCTCCTGTGATCCCAGCTAGCCAAGATGCTGAGGCGTGAGAATCGCTTGAACCTGGGAGGCGGAGGCTGCAGTGAGCCAAGATCGTGCCACTGCACTCCAGCTTGTGTGAGGGGGGGGGGACTCTGTCTAAAAAAAAAAAATGTAAAAAGAAAAAAATACTGGATGAAATAATACAGATTAGATAAAACAGAAGTAAATATAACTGATCTAAACACTCCAATTAAAAAGTAGAGACAGTGGATAAAAAAGATGCCTACCATATGATATCTACAAGACATGAACTTTAAATACAGGTCAACAGTAAAAGGGTGGGAAAAGATATGCAAACAATAATCATAAGCTGGAATAGCTACATTAATATGAGACAAAGGACAAGGTTGTTTGTTAGTAGAAATGAAGAACATTTCATAATGACAAAAGGGTGAATTCATCAGGAAGACATAATGTTCCTAATGTGTATAAATCTAACCTAAGTACAAAATAAATGAAGCAAAAACGGGCAGAACTGGTAGGACAATTAGACCAATTTGCAATTATAGTTGGAGATTTTTTAACACTGTTCTGTCAGTAACTGATAGAACAATTGAACAGAAAATCAGCAAAAATTTAAAAGACTCGAACAATACTACTAACAAGCATTAGCTAATGATATTAGACCAATCCTACACATCTTTCTTAAAATATAGGAGGAGAAAACACTACTCAATTCATTTTATGAGACCAGCATTATCCTGATACTAAAACCAGAAAAATGTTACGAGAAAACTATGGAACAATATATATATATATATATATATATATATATATATATATATATATATATTTTTTTTTTTTTTTTTTTTTTGAGACGGAGTTTCACTCTTGTTGCCCAGGCTGGAGTGCAATGGCACGATCTGGGCTTACTGTAACCTCAGCCTCCCAGGTTCAAGCAATTCTCCTGTCTCAGCCTCCCGAGTAGCTGGGCTTACAGGCGCCCACCAGTACGCCCAGCTGATTTTTATATTTTTAGTAGAGACGGGGTTTCACCGTGTTGGCTAGGCTGGTCCTGAACTCCTGACCTCAGGTAATCCACCTGCCTCGGCCTCCCAAAGTGCTGGGATTATAGGCGTGAGCCGCTACGCCCGGCCACAATATTCTTTTAAATAGAATTTTAGCAAATCAAACCCAGCAATATGTAAAAAAGATCATGTATTATGATAATGTTAATCCTAGGAATGCAAGTTTGGTTTAACATTAAAAAATAAAGCAATGTGATTTACCACATTAAGCAAATAAGGAGTAAAACAATATGATCATCTAAATAGATGTGGAAAAAGCATTTGGAAAACTTCCAATACCCATTCATCATACAGCTTTCAGTAAACTATGAGTAGAAGAAACTTTCTCAATCTGATAAAGGACATCTGTTGGAAACCTACGGCCAATATCCTATTTCATAGTGAAAGATCAAACACATTCCCCTAACATAGGGAACAATGCAAAATTGTCAGATCTCAATATTTATTCACTTTTGTACTGAAAATCCTACCCGGTGCAATGAAACAACAAAAGGATATAGACTGGAAAGAAACAAGTAAAAAAATCTCATTATTCTCAGATAAAATGCTTGTCTAGGTAGACAATTCTGAGGAATATACAAAAAAAGTTATTAGAACTAACAGCAAATTTAGCAAGGCCACAGAAGGCAAGGCTGATATAAAAGATCAATTATACTTTTATATGCCAGAGAGAGACACTTAGAAAATGAAATTAATGAAATAGTAAGCTGTTCAAGACTTCGCATTGAAAACCACAATATGTTGCTGAGAGAAACTGATGAGACAAATAAACGTATAGATACACCACGTAAAGATAGAAATACTAAATATCGTTAAGATGTTCTAATGAACCTGTCTTGGCCTCACAAAGTGCTGGGATTACAGGCGTGCGCCACCGCGCCTGGCCAGGATTAGAGAACTTACATTGTTTATTTCAAGACTTAGTATAAAGATACAACAGGCCGGGAGCGATGGCTCACACCTGTAATCCTACCAGTTTTGCAGGCCGAGGTGGGTGGATCACAAGGTCAGGAGATTGAGACCATCCTGGCCAACATGGTGAAACCCTGTCTCTACTAAAAATACAAAAATTAGCTGGACATGGTGGTGCGTGCCTGTAATCCCAGCTACTCGGGAGGTTGAGGCAGGAGAATCGCTTGAGCCAGGGAGTCGGAGGTTGCATGAGCCGAGATTGCGCCACTGTACTCCAGCCTGGCAACAGAGCAAGACTCCCATCTCAACAAAAAAAGATAGATACAACAATAAAGCAAGCATGATATTGGCTAAGGAAAGATATATATAGACCAACAAAACAAGAAGCCCAGAAAATAGACACACACACACACACATATGTCAGTTGCTTTAACAAAAGTGCCAAGAAAATTCAATTGAGGAAAAGTATAGTTTTTTTTTTTTTCAACAAATGGTCTTGGAATAACTAGATATTCATTTGGAAAATACTGACTTTGACTCTTCTCTCACACCATTTATAAACATTAACTCGAAGTGATTAAAGACCTGATGGCAAATGATAAAGTGATACAACTTCTAGAAGAAAGCTGAAAATCTTCAAAACCTTTGGGTAGGCAGACTTTTTAGATAGGACAAACCAACCACAAACTATAAAAAAGATTGGGGCCGGGCACGGTGGCTCACACCTATAATCCCAGCACTTTGGGAGGCTGAGGCGAGTGGATCACTTGAGGTCAGGAGTTGGAGACCAGCCTGGCCAACATGGTACAATCCCGTCTCTACTAAAAATACAAAAATTAGCCAGGCATGGTGATGCGTGCCTGTAGTTCCAGCTACTCAGGAGGCTGAGGTAGGAGAATCGCTTGAACCCGGGAGGCAGAGATTGCAGTGAACTGAGATCACGCCACTGCACTCCAGCCTGGGCAACAGAAAGTGAGACTCTGTCTCAAAAAATAATAATAAATAAAAGTTACAGACTTGTTACACTTATAGATGCGTATTATACTTCAATTAAGTTCATTTAAAAAAGCAAAAGACAGTGAGGATTGGGATCTTAATGGTAACAGGGATGTCAATATCGATCTACGCATGAGGCTCAGTGGCTATCCGAGGAGAGTCAAATTATTATGTAGCTGTCCATGGTGAGAAGAAAACACTGGAATATTTTAGATGCTACAGCTTGTTAAATCTTCTGATACATTTTTAGTTTTTATTATTTTCATTGTGCAAATTTACGGGGTACATGAGAAAATTTGTTACACGTATATAAGGAATAGTGGTCAAGTCATAGTATTTAGGGGTTCATCAACCAAGTACAGTACATTTTTGTTAGATATAGTCATCCTACCCTGCTAGTAAACCCTGAACTTGTTCCTTTTATCTTTCTTACTGTATGTTTGCACCCTGTAACCCACTTCTCTTCATTCTCCTTCCTCCTCCTGCTCAACTTTCCCAATCTCTGTTACGTGTTTTTCTTTCTACCTCCATGTGTGTAAATCTTTTAACTCCTGTGTATCAGTGAGAATATGCAATATTTGTCTTTTTGTGCCTAGCTTATTTCACTTAAAATAATGACCTCCAGTGATTTTCTGATAATTTTTATTATGATAACTGAAATCAGACTGGCATTTCCCTTTTCGTATTTTTTTTTTTTTTTTTTGAGAAAGGTCTCAATCTGTCACCTAGACTGGAGTACAGTGGTGTGATCTCAGCTCACTGCAACCTCTACCTCCCAGGCTCAAGCAATTCTCTTGTCTCAGGCTCCCGAGTATCTGGGATTACAGGAATACGCCACCACGCCTGGCTAACTTTTGTATTTTTAGAGATGGGGTTTCACCATGTTGGCCAGGCTGGTCTTGAACTCCTGACCTCAAATGATCCACCTGCCTCGGCCTCCCGAAGTGCTGGGATTACAGGCGTAAGTCACTGCACCCAGCATTCCTTTTCATTTTTTTATAGTACGCTATCCTGGACCATTTGGGATGCGAAAGGATAAGACTGAAAAATATCCGAGGGGGATAAAGAAATGTCCTGGCTATGGTCACTACTACCTACTTAATTATTCTGAGTCTGTCCAGCTTGCCACTGCTATTTGTTTTTTACAAGCCAGCATTAAAAAGTAGCCAGGTTACATTTACTATATTCTTCTTTCTTTCTTTCTTTTTTTTTTGAGATGGAGTCTCACTCTGTTGCTCAGGCTGGAGTGCAGTAGTGCGATCTCGGCTCACTGCAACCTCTGCCTCCCAGGTTCAAGAAATTCTCCTGCCTCAGTATCCCGAGTAGCTGGGACTACAGGCATGAGCCACCACGCCCAGCTAATTTTTGTATTTTTAGTAGATATGGGGTTTTGCCATGTTGGCTAGGCTGGTCTCGAATTCCTGACCTCAGGTGATCTGCCCACCTCGGCCTCCCAAAGTGCTAGGATAACAGAGGTGAGCCACTGTGCCCGGCTATATTTACTATATTTCTTCACATCATATGTCATAATCTTTAAACAGCAAAATGAATAATGTAAAAACCTAGAAAACTTTTTTTCCTAGACTACTATGTTATTGACAACTATTACTTTCCATAGTTGAGTAGCCCCATATAAGCCTCCTCTAGACATCACCTACCTCCAATGATAGCCGAGTTTCTGTTGACTCCATTTCTTATAGCTTGGCCTTGTCCTGGATTATATGGAAAATCTGCACTGGCTGTACAGAAAGAAAGAAAGAGTCAAGTGTCAGAGTCAAGTATACTATTGATCCCAAATAATTTGATACCTATTTCTTCATGCAACTCTTCAACACTTCCTGTTTTCCCAAATGAAATCTCCATTTCAGATGGACCCGTCTTGCCATTGTCTCCCACAAGAATCACAACAGCCTCCATCCCTGTTCCTGCTGTTTCTCTTTGCACAAGGCCTAGGTAAACACGACTTCCCACTTGGAGCAATATTAGAGAATCCTAGAGCTACCTGAGCTGGCCTGCTCTAGTTCCACAGACAGACGAGTTTATGCATTTGAATATGTTTCTTACATTTGGTTGAAATCTGCTTCCCATCCACTTTTAACCCCATGCACAACTGGTGGCATTCAATGTATTTGTAGATGAGCTTTTTACAGCTACAGTATTAAAAAGTTTAAAAAGGAATCATTCCTTTAAACTTGTATTTTTCATGGCTGTAATAAGACACTGGCACACTTTAGGAATTTGTAAGGGGGTAATAATTCAAAACAGTTAAGAATATTAACTGCCTAGTGAATTTTCTGTTTCTTTCCCTATTACAAATGTAAGAATCAGTTGTGTTAAATTTAGGTATTTCTCTAAGATAAAACAAATTTTAAGCCCGGTAAAGGCAAATAGATCCCGAAGTCCATCTGCAAGTCAGCAGACTATCTTCTGTCATCCATAGGACCTAATCCAACTTCAGAAACAATTCACATTTGTTGGTCTTCTGTTGGAGAAGTTAAGGTAAATCTTCCAACAGAAGCAGGTCACCTTAGTCTAAAGCAAGCTCTGGCTACTGGATGGCACCAGTTAAATGTAAAAAGAATTTAGAAGTACTTATTTGGTACAATGAAATGTGTACACACCAGGCAAACAGGTTTATGTTATGATTCAGGGAGAACATTGCTACATACTCCGTTTTCTAACACTAATTTATTCCTGGGCTATGGACTTCCAAGATTATCCGGGATAATGATGAAAAGCAGGTAGAGCCCTTTTTCCTCCTCTTCTCTTGGAAATATGGCAACCAAAAAGGGAGATTCCAGATTCTTTCAACACATGTGATTTAATCCTTTCACTTTTAGACTTGATATTCTTTTTTTGTGTGTGTGTGGGGCGGGGGCGGTGTGGGGAAAGGGTCTCACTCTGTTGTCCAGGCTGGAGTGAGTGCAGTGGTGTGATCTTGGCTTGCTGCAACTGCTGCCTTGCAGGCTCAGGTGATTCTCCTGCCTCAGCCTCCCAAGTAGCTGGGATTACAGGCACCTGCCACCACGCCTGGCTAATTTTTGTATTTTTAGTAGAGACAGGGTTTCACCATGTTAGCCAGCCTGGTCTCAAACTCCTGATCTCAAGTTATCCACTCACCCTGGCCTCCCAAAATGCTGCAATTACAGGCATGAGCCACTGCACCTGGCCAGACTTGATATTCTTGTTTAGGACCAGGAAAATTATACTTTTTAGATAGATACGTATATATATTCCAAATTATCTCAACTATCAGTTGACTGAGTAAAAGCACAGACACTAAGCAAGCTACAAATGAAAGTGAACTTAACTCTTGAGTATTCAAGGATTTCATATTCCCCAAGTCTTTAACTGGGGGATGCAAAAGAGACCACTGATGGTTTTTGCTTGTTTTAACTGGCTCAATCCTTTTTTTTTTTTTTTTTTTTTTTTTTTTAAGATTTGGTCTTGCTGTGTTGACCAGGCTGGAGTGCAGTGGCACAATCATGGCTCACTGCAGCCTGGACCTCCCAGGCTCAAGTGTTCCTCCTGCCTCAGACTCCTGAGTAGCTGGGACCACAGCCATGCACTATCACACCTGGCAAATTTTTTTATTTTTTGTAGAGATGGGGTTTCCCTATGTTGCCCAAGCTGGTCTTGAATTCCTGGGCTCAAACGATCCTCCCACCTTGGCCTTTCAAAGTGCTGGGATTACAGCTGTGAGCCACCATGCCCGGCCAATTGGTCCAATCCTAAATCCAGTTAGCTAGGCAGGGAAATGGGGAGAGCCAACACGTAGTACAGCGTAGTCAGCTACTTTCTCATCAGCTCACTTTCCCATTTCCCTTCAGGATTTTCTGGGGTAGGTAGTGTGGATTAATATTCCCAATCCCAAATGTCAGCCCAAGAATGCAAAGATCTTTCATTTATTTAGGCTTATCATCAGATATAAGATTAATCCTAAAATTATCCTGTGGGAATAAAACTGGTTTATATAAAAACATATAATAAAAACCTTGGCTTTCTTTTTTAAATCTGAATCTTCTCTTCAAATTTATTCATTTACTTATTCACTAAATCTTTATAGAATGCCTACTATATGTCAGACTTCATTCCAAGTGCTGAGGATATACAGTGAACAATAAAATAGACAAAGAATAAAAGTTCTTTAGCTAATGAGAACTTCTTGGTCCGACATGGTCTGTTTATTCTACGCATCCTTGAAGAGTTTGGTTTATATAGTCTTTAGATTATGTACTGAAGCATGGATGTGGTTTCAATTATGAACTTGTCCATTTACAGTAAATTGCCTGATAAGTCATGCTACCCATAAACCATAAGCACAGGAAGATTTGGTTATGAATGTATACAATTCCCTGGCATAAGCCACCCTTCAAAGACCAAAAGCTATTTTTCAGGAATGAAAACTTGCACCGTTACTGCCCATCTTTTCCAGACCTTTTGACATTATAATTACTCTTCTCTGGACACTATTTAGTCCATATCCTTCTAGAAAGTCACCAAGCTTGTGAATAGTCTAGCTAAAATTAGAACCCAGGTGTAGGGTTCGTTCCAAAGTCAACAATCTTCTCTACCCTGCCTTTTGAAGGCTAGAAAGGGACAAGGAGTTGAAGGGTTGAGGAAGTCCCAGCTTGCAGACAGTTTGGCTTGGGTTGGGACTATGGGAGGAGG
This sequence comes from Homo sapiens, assembly GCF_000001405.40. Taxonomy (NCBI): domain Eukaryota; kingdom Metazoa; phylum Chordata; class Mammalia; order Primates; family Hominidae; genus Homo; species Homo sapiens. Next base: position 190,237 of record NT_187564.1, on the reverse strand, counting down.
AGCCCTTTTAGGTGATGAGGAATTAATTAGTTTTGTATTGGACATATTGAGTTGGAGGTGCTAATGGGGCACCCAGGTGGAGATATTTACTAGATATTTGGATACTTTGTGAGTGAGTGATATTTCCTGTCTCCTTTTGATAAATGCAGAAATTTCCTGACCTCCTTTTTCTTTGTCTTCCCTTATCCCCTGCCCCGTCATGACCTTCTTTATTTCTTTCTTTCTTTATTTTTTGAGACGGAGTCTCGCTGTGTCCCCCAGGTTGGAGTGCAGTGGCGCGATCTCAGCTCACTGCAAGCTCTGCCTCCTGGGTTCACGCCATTCTCCTGCCTCAGCCTCCCGAGTAGCTGGGACTACAGGCGCCCGCCAACATGCCCGGCTAATTTTTTGTATTTTTAGTAGAAACGGGGTTTCACCGTGTTATCCAAGATGGTCTCGATCTCCTGACCTCGTGATCTGCCGGTCTTGGCCTCTTAAAGTGCTGGGATTACAGGCGTGAGCCACCGCGCCCGGCCGACCTTCTTTAAATAATATGTACCTTCGAAATATATTAAATATAGTGATAAAAAATTACAATGGTAGGCCAGGCACGGTGAGTCCAAGGCAAGTGGATCATGAGGTCAAGAGATCGAGACCATCCTGGCCAACATGGTGAAACCCCGTCTCTACTAAAAATACAAAAATTAGCTGGGCATGATGGCGTGCGCCTGTAGTCCCAGCTACTCGGGAGGCTGAGGCAGGAGAATCACTTGAACCTGGGAGGCAGAGGTTGCAGTGAGCTGAGATCGTGCCACTGCACTCCAGCCTGGTGACAGAGCGAGACTGTCTCAAAAAAAAAAAAAAAAAAAAAAAAAATTAGCTGTGCATGGTGGCACGTGCCTGTAGTCCCAGCTACTCAGGAGGCTGAAGCAGGAGAATTGCTTGAACCGCTTGAACCTGGGAGGCGGAGGTTGTAGCGAGCCGAGATTGCACCACTGCACTCCACCCTGGCGACAGAGCGAGACTCCGTCTCAAAAAAAAAAAAAAAAAAAAATTACAATGGTAATCTGGTTCCCTTGAGGTTACGGATAAAAACAGTAGCAGAACATACGGAGATAGTGGAAGGAGTTACCTGAGATGACGCAAGGAGAATGACAAGAGCTAGGGAGGAACATTTAAAAATATTCCACGATTGTTTTGGGTGTAAATCTGAACTCCTTGGCATAGGGAAGAAAGACTCCCTTGAGCTGGATTTCTCTCCTGCCCCTTCCTTCCTGGGGTCACTTTTCCAACTCAACATTCTAGGTATAGGTGATATGGACAGGAGGCAGGGAAATACTGGGTAGAAGAGGGTGGAGTCCCTGGCAAGGGTTCCACACACAAACCTGAGCCCACAGCCCTAAATGAGAAATTCACAGCCCTGTTTTCCCACCCAAATGCTGCTTTTTCCAAAACCACCCTGGCCTGCCATGCCCCCCAGTCCTGTAACCATAAAAACCCCAAGCTCCACTGGCAGAGGAGCAGAGCAGTGTGGCAGAGGAGAGAAGAGAACAAGCGGCTGAACATCAAGAGGAGAAGCAGCATCTGAATGTTGAAGAGGTAACTGGACAGTTGGAAAGCAGTTTCGCTGAGGATGACTGAAGAGAATTATCTTCCCATTTCATCCCTTTCCAGCTCCCCATCCCACTGAGAGCCACCTCCATCACTCAATAAAACTGTGTGACCTGATTCTTCCTGGATGCCAGACAAGGACCTGGGTACCAAGAGGGCAGGGGGTAAAAGTCTGTCACCCTGTCTCCAATGAGCTGGTTAACACTTAGCCATCCCCAGACAGTAACTGTTAAAACAGCATTAATTGTAACATACCCCTAGACGCTGCTGTGGGGCTGGAGACCAAAAGCGTTCACCCCAGCGGCGGCACCCACTTGCCTGTGTGCTCGCCGTCCCGCAAAAAGTTTGAGTGAGCTGTACCCCTGTTGCAAGTCCAGTGAAGGGGTCTAGGGAACTCTCGCGTCTCATAGGAGTTCCTGATGCCTCCAGTTGACACACCTTTTCTCTGCCATATGGCACTCTGTCTGGACATCTGGTTTACTATCCTTTTCTTTGTCCATCAGATCTTACCACTTTCCTGAAAGTATCCTCAGCGACCTCAGACTGTGTGTCCCTTTTCTCAATGGGAATAATCTTAATTCTTGTGACTTCTTACATGACAGTCATCCTCTTCAAGTCAGAGACCAATCTTAATCATGTTTGCAGTTCCAGTGACTAACAATGCAGTAGCAAGGGCTAAATGGATGTTCATTGGCTGGCATAATTAAAATCAGTTGATTAAGAGGTATGTAAACATCGGTAGCTTCTTCTGATAACAAAACCTTCTATGCAGGTAGAATTTTGAAAGTCAGATGCCTAGTCTCAACTAAATCCTTACAGTGAGGCAGGTTTCTTATTCTTCCTAACAAAGGAGATGGACATATTGAATATAGAAAATATATTAGTGACTCCTAGTCCGCTGGACTTTGGTTATTGTTAGAAAATAACTTGTAGAAAATCCTCAGGTCAGGAATCCTTATACATTTCAAGGGCAAAATCTTTTGTTTGTTTTAGTGTGAGCACTCCTATTTTCCTGGATTTATTTATGCTGTAAGCCTGGTTGTCCTAATGCATGTGAGTGCTTACCCCCTTGAGGCAAAGCCATTTTATTCTGGCAATCAACACAATTGCTATTTTGATAGATACATTTTATTGCCACTGACCTTTCCCCTGGGAACAAACATCCTCTTGGAAATGCGCACAGAGAAAAACGGAGACCAAGAAACATGACTGAGACATGGATAATAAAGCTCACCTATTCTACTGCTAACATCCACGTTCCCCTCACCCAGCTTGCTGGGAGAGCTGAACAATTTTAGTGGTGTTGGAGTATCAAGGAACCTATACTTTGGGAAACAGTGAGTAGGTCCAAATTTGGCGTGTTAATTTAAAACAGACTAGCTATAACATTCTCAAGACCAGTCTTTCATCAAATAAGCACAGACTCTATTCAACATACTTCTCTTGCGGATCCCCAAATGACACTCCATGTTAACCACCAAAGCATGGTGCCATTCCAGTCTGATTTAGAGTCTTATAAAAGCCCACATATTTCTGCATATTTCCCTTGCACGTGCCCTTGTGTGTAGTCATCCGTGTTCCTATATTTGTAGACCATGTTTCCATTGCACCACTCAGAGATTAGCTCTCCTCCCCTCCTCCACCGAGCACAGGCCAGGCAGGACATATTGCTGGAGGAATTGATGATGGGAGAGTCTTCTCCCAGGAACGTACTTAGTAAACATCCTGGCTAAGGCTTTAGCGCCCACACACATATGCACTACTATGCTCCTCACCCAAGGAGAAGGCAGATATATTATCCGTCCTCAAACATATTCAGACATGGCTGCAGTCACACCTTAACACACAGATGCGCTTCCCTTCCACTGTCTTTGTCTCCCGTATGAGAAGCAGTCTGAGAGCTCACTACAGTACATTTTCCCTTCTTTCATTTTCAAGTTAAGAAAAATCCCCAAAAATAACAAACATACTTTGTAAGGACAGTCATATGTTGGAACTGGGTGAGTAAAAGTATACTTTCGTTTTCCAAAAAAGAATATACAATATGACAGTTTCGTTCCATTTCTAAAGGTGTTTCACCCATCTCTCCACTACATTCCTGAAAGGCTTTGCTGTGACAGCAAGATGACCAAGGAGTGAGCACCTCTCACATCTGTGTGCTGGGCAGGGGTGCGGGTGATGTCCTTCCCTTGGCTGCTGGGGCAAGAGGGACTCTTTTTTTTTTTTTTTTTTGAGACAGAGTCTTGCTCTGTCGCCCAGGCTTGAGTGCAGTGGTGCGGTCTTGGCTCACTGCAAGCTGCAGCTCCCAGGTTCACGCCGTTCTCCTGCCTCAGCCTCCCGAGTAAGAGGACTCTTGAATGACAGTGACAAGTTCTGAACTCCAACATTAAACAACAAAGGCCACATAGGTTGTTTAGATGCAATGACTGGTAAAGCTCTAACTTCTAAGATTATGTGAAGTGAGTCATCATTTGGACTAGAGTTTCCTCAAACACAAAGCTTTCTAGGGCTCAGTCCAACTCTGAATTCTATGACCATGGAGCAACTTTCAAAGGCAAAGTTGCAAAAATGGCAGAAAATCAAGTGGCTAGTTGTGGTAGAACTGGCCCAGAAGTGCTTTTCTTCCATTGTGGAGTCCAAAACATTTCATGTTGATTTATGTGAAATTCAAATTTCGGGAACAAGCTGTTTAGGAAATAATAATAGCACTTCCTGCAAGTCAGGCCCTGTTCTCCTTTTCATGCTAACTCATTTAATCCTCATGTGAGCCTTGACACATTCATCCCATTTTGGAAGGATAAAAACTTGTTTGAGGTCACACAACCAGGAAATGGTGGAGCTAGTATTTGAACCCAGAAGTTAGCTCCAGAAACCATTCATTAAACACTCAGCTGAATTGTCTCTGATGAGAAGGCATCCGTCTCTACCAGCTCTATCAAATGACAACAGCATTGTAGGGTCCTAAGGCAACCAACCAATTTAGCCCAACTGCTTTTTCTGTGGTTGGTGGGCCGCCTGGGGAAGCCAACGGAATCTAAAGGCTTCTGACTGTGTTTGCTTTTCTTCAGAAGCTGAGTGTGGAGACATTTTATCTGACAAAGGATAATTACACGTGACGGCAGCGTCAGCTGAGCAACGTGTCAAGCTAAGAACTGAGCCCACGTTGCAGAAGCACAGAAATCCGACCTTCCCTTGGTGACACATACAGACCCCTGATGGGCCAAAGTAGCACAGAGAGAATGGCCCGTTACCTTTACAGAAACACTCATGAAACCAGGAATCGTGCAAATTGTGCTTTAAAATATTATATTGAATATAACTTTTGATTCCATTTACAGAATGTGAAAAAATTATAAAACAAGTTTCAGGGCAGATGCTTAAGTACTAGAAATTGATTTAAAAGACAGCTATAGGCTGGGCGCCGTGGCTCATGCCTGTAATCCCAGCACTTTGGGAGGCCGAGGCGGGCGGATCATGAGGTCAGGAGATCGAGATCATCCTGGCTAACACGGAGGAACCCCATCTCTACAAAAAATACAAAAAATTAGCCAGGCGTGGTGGCGGGTGCCTATAGTCCCAGCTACTCAGGAGGCTGAGGCAGGAGAATGGCATGAACCCGGGAGGTGGAGGTTGCAGCGAGCCAAGATTGCGCCACTCTACTCCAGCCTGCACGACAGAGCGAGACTCCATCTCAAAAAAAAAAAAAAAAAAAAAAATTAGCCAGGCATGGTGGCACACGCTTATAGTCCCAGCTACTTGAGAGGCTGAGGCAGGAGAATTGCTTGAACCCGGGAGGTGGAGGCTGCAGTGAGCCGAAATCGTGCCACTACACTCCAGCCTGGACAACAGAATGAGACTCCATCTCAAAAAAAAAAAAAAAAAAAAAAATTGTAAGAACAGAATATTAAAAAGAGATTTGAATTCTTTAGCCTATAATTTCTTGTCTGTCCTAGTGAATAAGGAGAGAGTAAAGTTTTTTTTTTTTTTTTAACTACAGAAGATAAATTTGGTGGTTGTGGTTCTTATTTACTAAGTTTCAAAATATTTAGGCTCAGAAACCAATTGCAAACAAAACATATTGAAGTGCATATAAAAATAAATTGAAATATCTAACATAAAACCCCCCAAAATGAAAGGCTCTGGAAGCTTCAGGTTGTCATATATCAGAGACAAAAAAATTAGATCATATCTGACATCTCCTAGAGAAAATATCTCCATGGAAACCACTGGAGTTTCAGCATCTAAAGTAATAATTTGAGACACTTCAACAAAACTGCTGCTATTAATTATAATTTAATTTAAATTGCAACATTATTTTTACAGTGGGTCCGGGCGAGATGAGGTATCTCTGCCTTTGTTCTTAGCTTCTTTGTTTTATTACATTTTATTCTGTTTTCAAATCTGAGTTATATAGCAGAAAATGATTGTTTTTCTTAAATAATGTTTTTAGCCATTCACTATTGATATTTCTGAAACAGATATGAAAACAAATGGTTATCGACTAAGATGCTGAAGATATAAGGGACATTGTTTTATTTTAAGAGAGGATCCCTGCTAATCACATTTTTGGGAGGGAGCGATTTCTCTAAGTCAGCAGGTTTTTCCGTAGGCAGAGCATTATGTGGCATGTACTGACATGATCCTGAGTTTCACATTTCTCTCTCTACCCTTCACTTCCTAGTTTCTAAAAAAAAGTAGCCAGCCAGCATTTCCAATTTCAAACAGGGGAAGGTGATTGTGACTTTTTGGCTCCTGACTTGAAAAGTTAAACAAGCTTTACATTTCCAGCTTCTTAAAGGAATGAGAAAGTGGCAGCTGCTTTCATTGACCAAAAGAGGTCGAGTGAAGAGAAACAGAATAAACAAATTTGTCGTCATCGGCTATATGTTATGATTGTTTAAACCAACTTTTATATGAAAGGACTGAGTGGGCAATTGATTCCATTGTACTCCCTCTTTCCATCAGTTACTTAGTTAACTTCTGAATTGTCTCAATTGCCTTTCAGGAAAAAGATTTCTTAATGCTCTCAGAGTAGGCTGACATTGTACTCTTTTGTCTGATTAACGATAAAGAGGTATTTTAATTGAAAATAGCTCATTAGGCCGGGCACAGTGGCTCACGCCTGTAATCCTAGCACTTTGGGAGGCTGAGGCAGACAGATCATGAGGTCGGGAGATCGAGACCATCCTGGTTAACACGGTGAAACCCCGTCTCTACTAAAAATACAAAAAAGTAGCTGGGTGTGGTGGTGGGTGCCTGTAGTCCTAGCTACTCAGGAGGCTGAGGCAGGAGAATAGCATGAACCCGGGAAGCGGAGATTGCAGTGAGCCGAGATTGTGCCACTGCACTCCAGCCTGGGCAAAAGAGCAAGACTCCATCTCAAAAAAAAAAAGAAAAAAGAAAAAAATAGCTCATTATTAATATATGCTCAGATTTTGTATTTCATAAAATAAACACGAAGGTAAGGTATTTGGTGTCCATTTTCATGTGAGATAAATGTCTTGTTATTTCTCAGGTGGGCAAATTGTTCCAGTCCTAATGTTTGGTTATAATTGTTTATAAATCAATGGTCAAAGTTATTGTAAAATATTGTGGGCACTTGTAAAGTATTGATTGTGACAGCTGGCCTTTATAGATTCTGTAGTTCCACAACCTCTCTACAGTTAAGGAGGCAAAAATGCAGAATGGATGATAATTAGGTGAAAGCCACATGGTTGGTGGGTGCCAGAGTCGCTGCTACGAGGACGAGGTCTTTCGACTCCTCATTCAGGACTCTCTCATGTATCTTACTGTAGTTCTCAGGGTGAACCTTGAAAGTCTGGATCAGAGAGCCTCACTGCCAGGAGCAGCTATCCAGCTGGCCCTCCACATCCACGGGTTCCCCAACTGTGGATTCAACCAAACTCAGATCAAAAATATTCGGGAAAAAAAGTTTCAGCTGTACTGAACACGTACAGATATTTTTTTCTTGTCATTGTTCCCTAAACAATCCAGCATAACAAATCTTTTTTTTTTTTTTGAGGCGGAGTCTCACTCTGTCGCCCAGGCTGGAGTGTAGTGGCACAATCTCAGCTCACTGCAACCTCCGCTTCCTGGGTTCAAGTGATTCTCCTGCCTCAGCCTCCTGAGTAGCTGAAATTACAGGCATGCGCCACCATGCCCGGCTAATTTTTGTATTTTTAGTAGAGATTGGGTTTCACCATGTTGGTTAGGCTGGTCTCGAACTCCTGACCTCGTGATCTGCTTGCCTCAGCCTCCCAAAGTGCTTGGATTACAGGCGTGAGCCACTGTGCCTGGCCAACAACTCTTTACATAGCATTTATGTTGTATTAGGTATTACAAGTAATCTACAAGAGACAATTTAAAGTATATGGGAGGGTGTGTGTAGGTTATATGTAGGTATTTACCACACTATTTGCTATCAGAAACTTGAGGATCTGTGGATTTGGGTGTCTTTGGGGGTCCTGGAACCAATTTCCTGTAAACACTGGGGCAGGACTGGAGCACTTGGTTAACAGTGCCGTACGGCTCTTCGTTGAGGTTTGTCGCGGCTTCTTTTCCTTTCCGCTGCAGGGAGTTTATGAATTCATGCTGATGTTAACAGGAGTGCAAGAAGGAAGAAGCCCCAAATCTAGGGGAATATAAATTCGGGAAGTGCCATTTAAACCCCGGTCTGAAGGAAAACGCTGTTTCTCCTGCTGCACAGTTTCCAGAATGCGCGTGGCGGCAGCAGGGTTCCCCGGAAGGGGCTGTCACTTCCTATGCATGCAGGGCTCTGAATGTCAGGGACAAAGGGCTCTGCACTTGTGTAACTGGTGGGTTCTTCGGCCTTGAAAAAGTTGCTGAACCTCCTTAGGCTTTTTCTTCAATTTCTATCTCAGTCTGAGATGCCTTTGGGGGAGAGCACTCTGATTCAGACCTTTCAAACATTAAGGGGCATACGGATGCCCTGAGCTCTGGTAAAAATGCTGCTTCTGCCTGAGTTGGTCTTGGGTGGGGGACCTGGGCATCTGTATTTCTAACAGGCTCCCAGAGTGCTTGAATACCTGCCTGACTTTCAGTTGCAGAAATTTAATGTAGACCATTGGTGACTCAGGTCTTCAGCTGCTCGTGTGTGTGTGTGTTTTAATTTAAAGCAGTGTCTGAGAGGGAGCTGAAATAATTCCTTCTGAGAACCTTGTCCTTTTTCCCTTGGCCGAATCATTTGTGTGAATTTAATGATTTGCCTGCCAGAATGCCCCACAGTTCGACTCCGTTAGTTCTATTTCTTTTTAGTGTTGTGAAAGCAATAATAGGAACACTGTGTTAATTTCAGAGAGAATTATTTACTATTATTTTGAATGTTGGAGAGGGGGAGTTTATTACAGTTTAGGAAAAAACAGCCAAAGAGTTTAATAAATGGTTATCTTAGTATGACCTTGGATACCTTTCCTGGTTCAAAGCAAAAATACAAGTTGAATCTCTAAAGCAAGTTTATCAGGGAGGAAAAATATTGGGATGTTGGCATTTAGGTTCTTGATGCTATGGATGCGTTTAAAGGCATATATGAGAGAGAACAGATGCATTTTAAAATTTTCTTTTTAGAGACAGGGTCTTGCTATGTTGCTCAGGCTGATCTTGAACTCCTGGACTCATGTAGCTGGGACTATAGGCACGTGCCACTGCGCCTGGCTAGACGTATTTTTAAAAATACTGTACCGTGGATTTTTTTGAAGTTTATGGATTTGTTTTTTGACAAAACATTCTTACTGCTGGTTCTGCTGCTGCATGGGTGCAATGCGGGATACAGCCAGATCAGGGTGGAAAGCCTGAAGCCATACGGGCATATTATGGTATGTCAGACAGCCTTGGTGACTGCCTCTGGCTTTATGGAATGCTGTGTCTCAGATATGGGTGCTCACCAAGTTTTGTGAACACACCTGCTATACAGGAGTCTCAGCTAAGAGAACTTGTGGTTTCCTTATTAGCAAAGCAGTATTAGCAAGAATTGGTTGTTTGCTGAGTCATAGAAATAGCCCCAGTTTCTAGGGAGAGGGTGGCTGAGAAAATTATGATAGTTAAAAGAGGAAAGCAACCAATTATAGTAAGTCAAAAAGGGATATTTTTAAGGACATTCTCTGATGTATTTCACCTTTCCTCTTAGGCAGTGGTCAGGGATTCACACAATTCATAAGATGAAAGTCTTCAGGAGACCCTGGATCTATTGTCTTCAGACTTCTGCAGAGAAACACATCCCCTGGGCATTATGCAATTATCAGTAAGGGCTTTGGACTTCCATGATGTATGGCTTGGGAGCTCAGTGAAAATAACATTTTATCACCTTAAGTCTACTCAAGAGATGCGCTTCATCATTTGTGAGAATACTTAGGCGCATGTTATTTTAGGACTCAAGCAAGGATGAAGGGATTCCTTTTACTCTCCCTCTGTGGAAATTTCTAGTAAATTCAAAGGCCATACTTTGGCTGTGGATGGACCCTTTGGAAATGGCTGAATATTATTGATCTGCTTTGTCATCCTGTGTCTTTCAAAGGAGTTCAGTGAATAATTAAATATTTTTAAATGCTTTTTATCTTCTGCTGGAACCTCGGTATCTCAACTTGCAGAAGACGCTGTTTTCAGCTTTACATGATGAATGTGCTTCTGCGCTCTGTGGACCAGTTCTGCCAATAGGCATGGGATGTTTGTGTTGTAACTGCTATTTCATCAAAATGTGAGGTTGATCCTTTTTATTCTTAAGTTTTCAGAAACTAGTATAATACATAGATGAGGAGCGTTGCTGAGGATGTGGTGGAGTCACCCAGACCACAGACAGCTGACCAGATTCTGTCTCCACTGTGCGGTTAGAAGGGGGGCATGGGCAAACCTAAAGTGCTTTTAAAAATTAATTCTACACATATTTTAAGTCTTTTATGAATGCCCAGTTCGGCTCTTGGTTTTGAAATACTCTTTTCGGTTGCATTAGCACAAGGGAAATTTATAATTCCAATCCCAAGACAATGTATTTTCTTCCAAGAAGGCTGACTTCAGAGAACTGAGTATAAAAGCTCCATGCTAAATATGCTTCCATTGTTGTCTGAGCTGTTCTCTTCTTGAGTTAACCTGAGATCTCACAAGACAACTAGTTTTGCTTCCTGACAGGTGAAATGGCAAATGGCCATCAAGGAGAAACTGATGAAACAAATTATCCTTGGTTATTAAAGCTTCCTGATGGTTCCCCACACCATTCCTCCCTGGTGCCTGGCTCACATCATTATAAAGATAGCGTGATAAAGTCCTGGCATGAGCCGTGTGGCTCTGTCACAGTTCTTCTCATTCATGTCAACGGAGTGTGAAAAAATATTTAATTGGCTCTAGCAGCCTTGGGGATGATTTATTCCCTGTCGAAAAGGGGAATGTGGAACAAGAAAAAGCAAAGTGTATTTAGTAGCAGGGATTTCACCAACAGGTATGCAAATTACATATCCTTCCAGACTTCTGCATTATATTTAAAGGGTGATAGAAAATAGTAAGACAGTTCAGAATAAAGAACTGGAATTATATGTTTTACTCCAAAATTTTCATTGAGAGGAAGGAATAGTGGGAAAAAAATAACTGAATCTGAAATATATGCATTTTCCACTTCATAATGCTAGTCTCTGCATACTTTAGAGTAAGGTGCTATAAACTCAGTCCCCATTGCTTCACAATCCTGATGCACACCAGGAATCCTCTGGGATGGGGAACAGGCATTGGGATTTGTGAAAAGCTCCCCAGGTGACTGATGTGCAGCCAGGGTTGTGCACCGCACTTCTGTGGCCACCCAGTCAGTGTTTGCTGAGGGAATGAATACATTTATTTTCTCTGAGCTGCATTTTCCTTATCTTTAAAATGTGGCTGATAATGTCCACTTTGCCTACCACATGTGGCCATTCCAGGATAAAACAAAATCATGCATTAAAGCATTTCAACAAATAAAATAGTTTACAAATTTAAGTTATCACTACTTTTGTCTGTATCCTTTCCAGTTTTCTAAAAGTTAAAATTCCCGTCAATGATTGAAAATCATTTTAGCATGTTTAAAGGGGAATTTCCAAAACAATTCATCTTATTTTCTATGTTTAAAATAACTGTACCCCACATTCATATGGCTATTTATGTACAATTACATTTCAACATAAAGCTGATTTTAATTTTTTAAAAGTCTTTCAGCGTTGCTCTCAGGAACAAACTCAACAGCAGAATTAGGAATCTGCATCCGTCTTTAGAATTTCTGAATAGTCTATGCAGAGCACGTGGAATCAGACAAAGATCTCAAAGGAGTGAAGCAATTTATCATGTTTAGTTATTGGTATTTATAAAAGGACTTTTCTCTGAAAAGCATGTGGTGATGTGTTAAAAACCTCATCAGGATAATGCTTCTGCAACTGTAGAGATCATAGCAAGGACATGAGGTGCTGATTGGCCAGCAGAGGTGGAACTAACATTTCCAGGTGGTGACTGACAGAGATTCCCCTGTGAGAATTCACACCTGGGAATTCTGACAATTGTCTTTTTAAATGAGGCCGTAAAAGAAGTGATGGCGGATAATTTAGAGGGTGTTGTGCTCCTCTGAGTGCTTCCATAGCTGAGTGATATGGTGCTGTAACAGAAGCATGATACTGAAGAATACTCAAAAATGCGGTACAGTAGGAAGCATCTGAATGGGGGATCGCTGGGGGTAAGGAAAGACACACAAGTCAAGGGATAACACTGAGCTCAACTCGCCTCCATTTTCATGGGCTACTCATAGCATTCCTGTAGCACGAGCATGACGCAAAAATGAATACTGTGACTTGCTGGAGTCAGTGGTTCTGCCATCAACAGAGAAGTCACCATGGCAACATGTACAACCGCGTTGCCCCGCACTTAGCCAGCCCCACGTGACACAGGCTGACAGCTGCAATGATTTCCATGCACAGACCCCAGGAAAATGCACCTTTGAGTGCCATGCCAGGTGGGGTGGGGGTCGGAGGGTGGACAGCCCAGGGAGAAGAACGGGACAGAGTCCTAACCTCCCTGGGGTTCAAAATCTATCGTAGGGGATGAAGGGAAAGAAAGGTAGAGGAAAATTAGGAATGAAAGAAATTCGCGGCAGGGGAAAAAACAATGACCTTGGAGATAGTTCCAAAGCTGTATGTTTGTGCCGGTTTTGCTTTTTTATCACTGGAGTTTCAGAGAGTTAAGTGATCCTGGTTAAGACAGAACAGAAGTCTTTGAATAAAGGCAGCCCCTGACACGGCCAGGCCTGTGGAGCCACTAGAAAGCAGCCCGTCTACACAGAGGATGGCCTGTGAGGTGTTCGATGCTGAAGGGGAATCCAACCCTGCTGCCAGTCATGTTTAGCCACTTAAGTGACGTTTTGCTCTTTGATTATTTCTTCATCATGGCTGAGCCTTGACAGAGCGCACCCCCAACTGCTTTTCAAAACACAAGCCTGCCAAGTCTATTCTCTCAGTGATGTGGGAAGGCTTTGGCAACTTACGCCAGCCTCTAAGTTCTTTTCAGGTCCCTTAGCAAAAAGTCTAGTGCAAGCCATTGGTGTCAATTACATCTGGAGGGTGCAGTCCTGGAGGCGGGGCTGGGGCAGCAGAGGTGTGGTCAGAAGAGAGCATGGCTGGAGTTTAAGATTTGTTGACTTCGGTTCACATTCTTATAAGACCATGATACACACACCCCACCAAGAAGGAAAATAAGAGAGAGAGCCAAACATTCAAATTAGAAAGTTAGAGGCCAGCAAATATAAATTTAAAGAAGACACGACAGTAGAAAGAAAACAAAGAATTGACAAATAAATCTAAGAGCTGGTTCTTTGAGAAAAGAAAAAAAAAAAAGCCACATAATCTAATCAATAAGGGGGGGGGGTCAACAGAAACATTCAATATAAAAAACACGAAAAAGGGAATGGAAATTAAATTATTAACAAGTTTCTGTTCAACTCCACAGTAATGAGTTTGAAAACCTAGGTTAAATGCACGAATTTCTAGAAAAAGATAAAATAACGGGTATTATCCTAGATGAGAAAGAAAATCTAATTAGACAGATTATCATAAAATAACTTGAGAGAGTTGTCAAAGATCTGCTCCCACAAGAAGCAGTGGGCTCAAGTGGTTTTCCAGGGGAAACCTATGAAATCTACCAGAGGCAGTGCCTCAAGGCTGCTTATCTCCTTGCCACTCCCAGTGTGTTCCAGGGACCCGCTGCATCAGCAGCACCTGGGAGCTTGTTGGAAATGCAGAATCTCTAATCCCATGTTTGACCAGCTGAATCTGCATTTGCTAATTTCCCCCAGGTGATTCTAAGCACATTAAAATCTGGATGACACTTATCTGAATCATTTCGCAACTTGGAGAGAGATGGAGAAGACACGCATGGTGTAACTGGGCATCACCAGGTAATGAACTTATACATAAACCTTAATCCCAGTAAAAATTTTAAACAATTCCAATAAAATGATTAAAATTCTCAAATCCACATGGGAAAAGCAAATGTGCAAGGATGAACAGGAAAATTCTGGGAAAAAAAACTCAGAAAAAAAGGGAAATTAGCTCTATGAGCCACTAAATGTGATAATAAAAGCTCAATGATAAGTACTGCAGTTTGCTCCCATGTCACAAGGCATCATATCAATGTAATAGACCAGAGAGTCCAGTAGGGACTCAGAAATGAAGGGAATTTAGAAGATGGTAAAGGTGGAGAGGATGGAGCCTCAACCAATGGGGCTGGAACAGTGGGCCATTTGGGAAAAAATAAAGTGAGATTTTTACCTTCCACCTTCCACCCAAATAAATTTCCAGGGAAGAAAATACGTAGAACTTACAAATAAAACACAAAATTATTATAAAAAACATGGAATAATTTAAAAAATAAGTTCTAAATGGAGAAGGTATGTCACAAAACCCAAAAGCCATAAAACACTTTACATTTCACCATGTAAAATTTAGTAACTTTTACATGGAAAAAAAAATCCCATAAATTCAAAAAAATTGAGATGAAACAAGGAAAACATTAAAAATACTAATTTACTTAATATATTAAGAATACTTATAAATCAATAGGAAAGAATATAAAGATATAAATAATTATTGGAGCAAAGAATATAAAGAGGGAGTTTATGGAAAAATAAATATAAATGATATATAAACATATGCAAAGATACTTAACCCAACTCATAATTAATGAAATACAAACTATAACAAGAAAATTTTATTTTTCATATAGAACAGCCACATTTAAAAGAATAATATGATGCACTGTTTTGGTGAGGATGTGGGGAAAAGGTATTCATAGATTGCTGGACTGTCAATCGGATTATATCATTAGAGGATGGTTTGTAGCAGTATCAAAATTAAAAACACACATATCCTTTGACTCAACAAAATCATGGATACAATGTGATTTTCTATGAAAACACTGTAGAAACTGATTTTCTATGAAAACACTGTAGAAACAAAAGGTGGGATACAACTAAAATGACCAGGCAAAAATAGGTGAGACTAATACCATAGTTGATTTGAGATACATAAATGCGCTTGGTGTTTTTGCAGGAAAAGTGGAATTTGGATCTTTGCAGGAAAATGCACATTAGCAAGCAAGGGATGATAGTTTTTCTTCACACGATTAAGTGTGAACTGTGTTGGTGACTGAAGAGGGAAAAAGACAAATAACATAATAAAAAGACTGAGTGTGAGAGATAAAAATGCATTAATCATGCAGTCTTAGCATAAGGAGAGAAAAGGGATCTGTTCAGAAATAATTAAGATGTAATTATAAGAGCAGGAATGATTACTTTTAAGTGCTTGCAGGTGGTAAAGAAAACCA
The DNA here is from genome assembly GCF_000001405.40 of Homo sapiens. Taxonomy (NCBI): domain Eukaryota; kingdom Metazoa; phylum Chordata; class Mammalia; order Primates; family Hominidae; genus Homo; species Homo sapiens. Next base: position 174,811 of record NT_187564.1, on the reverse strand, counting down.
ATGATCAGCTTGTAGTTAGGAAGAAAACAGAATAGATGATATATGTAATTTTAAAAAGTTCTTTATATCCATAACTCTTTGCACATGAAGATATAAAAATATTTTATGGCCAGATGATAGAAAGGAAACTTGGAATATAGACAGAAATCAACTTAGAAGTCATAACGATGGAGGTAAGAGGACTTCAGAAACCAATCTGTGGCCAGTGGTAAAGTGTCCGATGTGGTGACGGGAAGCCTGAGTTCCTAGCTCAGTGCTGGGTATACTCAAGTCTAATGGGGGTATGGGGTTGTTACACTGAGTGATCCCAAGTGCCAAGTTCCATCTAGTTCCTAATATATCTGGGAGAAGACCCACGTGCCTAAGAGGGCTGGTTTTCAGCCACTCTGCCAACCTGAGTGAATCCACTGGACCAGCTTGGCAGGGGATTCTCAACCCTGGATTCTTGACAATCCTGGCCTTGGTTCTGGGGGAGGTGGAGAATTGGGTGTTAACTCCCTTCCCTCCACTCCTGCTTCTGAATTTTCCATCTCCTACCCACTTCCCTGTTGGAGGAGCTGTGAGAATTCCTGGTCAAGGACCTCCCAGTGTCAGATGCAGGTTAGCGTTAGGGCAGAGAACCAGATAACTTAAGGTTACAGTGGATGCTGTGAATTCACCTGCTAGCAATTTACAGAAGGACTCCCAGGTCCTTTCTGGGGTGAGATGCACCACACATCACATACCATGCAAACTTTGCTGAGAATCTAGCCTGGACCTACTAGAAGTCCTTTAAAATAACTAGCTGTGGCCAGGCGCAGTGGCTCATGCCTGTAATCCCAGCACTTTGGGAGGCTGAGGCGGGCGGATCACGAGGTCAAGAGATCGAGACCATCCTGGCCAACATGGTGAAACCCTGTCTCTACTAAAAACACAAAAATTAGCTGGGTGTGGTGGTGCGTGCCTGTAGTCCCAGCTACTCAGGAGGCCGAGGCAGTAGAATTGCTTGTACCCCGGAGGTGGAGGTTGCAGTGAGCCGAGATCACGCCTCTACACTCCAGCCTAGTGACAGAGCGAGACTCCATCTCAAATAATAATAACAACAACAACTAGCTGCAATCTTTACAACTAGAGGATCCCTTAGGAAATGAAACTTTACATCTTAAAATGCTTCATCTATTTTAATGATATTTTAAAGAAGATCCTAGGATGTGGCTTTTGGTCTGACGTATTCTGTATCAAATATCACGAATGTGATAAAACACTCTAAGGCTTAACACAAACGCCTTTTAAAGCAGGTTGGTGTGCAGTTTGGAGTTGCTCCTTAGTGCAGAAATTTATGGGATCAGACTCTTGGATTTATTTTTTCTGGTGTTTGTTTTGTTTTTGTATTTTACAGAATGTGCACTGCCATCTGTGGCTGTCTTCCTGCTGGCAAATCCTTTTCATTCCAAGCAAATAAGATTCCCTAAATTAGACAAAAAGGAAGAAACACAACAGAGTCCATAATTCTGAGAGGTAAATCACGGCAATTGCCTGGCATTCTGTGACCTTAAAATAAACCTTAACTCAGGGCTGGGGGTTACTTTTTCTACCTTGTAACTACTGTTCTAAAAATATTCCTAAGGACCATATAATGGTTTAGAAACAGGCTGTACTTATTATCAAAGAGGGAAATAACTAGAAGAAAAAAAGATTGGATGTTTCCAATAGAGCAGAATTGTTTTAAATCAAGTCAACTTAAATCATAATGTGTAAGTCTTTTGTTTACCTCATCCCCCTATAAAAATGTGTTCTTAAAGCCCCATGCTAGGCCCTAGCGCTTGGGGTGATCTTTCTCTACTGCCCAGTGTTTCCCAAACTCCAATCATGTGAAAATCACCTTCATATTTTTCTTGACATATACTGTAAAATCCAAGTATTATTTATTTACTTATTTTCACAAAATTGGTTAAATTTCTTATTTATATAAATCTATTGATAAAACTTTACATCCCTACTGAGTAATTCTATTGCCTGTGAGGCACTAACCAGAAGCCTGTTCTCTCTTTATTATAAGGTAAAATACAATCATGGGAGAGGTGTTAAAAGCGTGCCAGAACCAAATAGAGACTTTCTCTTTATAAAATCAGAAGGACTGAAAGACAAATGAACAGGAAATGACTTGCTTTGTATGTTACACGAGGCCATGTCTATTTGCTTCCCATAATGGCGACCCCCTATCTAGGCTACATGCTGCACTGCTCCAGAAGCCAGAGACTGCACTACAAATGACATCTGTTATAGTTGTGCAGTGCACAACCTGACCAACATAAATGTCCCTCATTTTAGAAAACACTGATAGAGCCCAAAGGACATTGGAGAGGTAACAAATAGTGTTTGTTATAGAAGTGTAACAGTAGTGTTACAGATGAGAAAAAGAATCTTATTACTAAAGCCAGCATACCTTAGAACCTATTTTCTGTTTTTATCATTTACTATGATCTCAGACAGTAGAAAGACAGGTATGGGAGCAGAAAGATCACCAGACCTATGGGTAGATGTCTTCAATTCTAATTTCCATTCTAACACCAAGTTCCTGCAAAACAAACATCCTGGTATAGGTATGCAAACATCCTGGTATAGGTATGGATTGAGTAGCCCTGGTTTGCCAAGATCCCTTTAACCATAAGGCCATACGATTCCTTACTCTTCACAGCAAGGCACCTGCTGTATTTTCAGAAAAGCACAGCCCTCATTTTAAAGCAGCATCTTTTTCTATCTTTCAGAGTAGGTTAGCAGCCAATTCAAAACACAGTAATAATTTCACATCTTCCTCATAATGAGGTGCTTTCACTGGAGCCACCGAGTCCTGCCCCACACTGCAAATTTATTGTTCATTTGTTTGTTTCAAGTCTGCTTTCCAGTTGCAAACAGGCAGATCAGTTCTCCTCAAGTTTAGGTAAAAACATCTCCTCTGAGTGAGCTTCCTTATAAAATGGCCGGAGAGCCTGGTCTCTTTGCAAGCTTGATGGTACAGCCTTTACTATTTGTGATTTAACCACCTAACGGCTTTATTGTTTTTCATAAACCATGTTTTGGGCAGTATTTGGGTATTCAGTTTTTTCTTTTGGTAACCTTATTTTGATGCACTTACCAAAGGGACCCTTCTTTCATTTGGTGAGTGATTCTTGACCTTGGTCACACACTGGACACTCCTGGGGAGGGGGGTTTACATCACACACACCTGTGTCCCTCCTATCCCCCCGAGGGTCTGATTTGGTCCGTCAGGGGTTTAGTACTAGATATTGGGATTTTTCTTTTTAAAAAATAACCATGAAGACCCTTCAGATGGCTTCCTTTCCCTTTCACTCTCCCAAAGGAAGAGAAGAGTGATCATCAGCAGCAAAAGGCAATTGCAGAGAAGCACCACCAAGAGCCAGCTTCATGCTCAGGAGTGAATGCTGAGCCGCCTCCTCGTGGTTTCCGGTGCTCCACATGTTCAGAGAAACTTCTCTGGTAAGAAACTATAGAAATGGTGCATGGAAGTGTTAGTAGAAAGGGTTCCTGATCCAGACCCCAAGAGAGGGTTCTTGGATCTCACGCAAGATCCAAGAATTTAGGGTGCATCCATAGAGTAAAGTGAAAGCAAGTTTATTAGTGTATTAGTTTGTTTTCATGCTGCTAATAAACACATACCTGAGACTGGGTAATTTATACAGGAAAGAGGTTTAATGGACTCCCAGTTCCACATGGCTGGCGAGGCCTCACAATCATGGTGGAAGGCAAGGAGGAGCAAGTCATGTCTTACATGGATGGCAGCAGGCAAAGAGAGAGCTTGTGCAGGGAAACTCCCCTTTATAAAACCATCAGATCTTGTGAGACTTATTCACTGTCACGACAACAGCATGGAAAGACCTGCCCCCATGATTCAATTACCTCCCACCAGGTCCCTCCCACAACACATGGGAATTCAAGATGAGATTTGGGTGGGGACATAGTCAAACTGTATCAATTGGGAAAGTAAAGGAATAAAAGAATAGGAGGAGCCAAGATGGCTGAATAGGAACAGCTCCAGTCTACAGCTCCCAGCATGAGCGACGCAGAAGACGGGTGATTTCTGCATTTCCATCTGAGCTTTGAAAAGAGCAGTGGTTCTCCCAGCACGCAGCTGGAGATCTGAGAATGGGCAGACTGCCTCCTCAAGTGGGTCTCTGACCCCTGACCCCTGAGCAGCCTAACTGGGAGGCACCCCCCAGTAGGGGCAGACTGACACTTCACACGGCCGGGTACTCCTCTGAGACAAAACTTCCAGAGGAACGATCAGATGGCAGTATTCGCAGTTCACGAAAAACCGCTGTTCTGCAAACACCGCTGCAGATACCCAGGCAAACAGGGTCTGGAGTGGACCTCTAGCAAACTCCAACAGACCTGCAGCTGAGGGTCCTGTCTGTTAGAAGGAAAACTAACAAACAGAAAGGACAACCACACCAAAAACCCATCTGTACATCACCATCATCAAAGACCAAAAGTAGATAAAACCACAAAGATAGGGAAAAAACAGAGCAGAAAAACTGGAAACTCTAAAAAGCAGAGCACCTCTCCTCCTCCACTATTCACAATTGCAAAGACTTGGAACCAACCCAAATGTCCAACAATGATAGACTGGATTAAGAAAATGTGGCACATATACACCATGGACTACTGTGCAGCCATAAAAAATGATGAGTTCATGTCCTTTCTAGGGACATGGATGAAATTGGAAATCATCATTCTCAGTAAACTATCGCAAGGACAAAAAACCAAACACCGCATGTTCTCACTCATAGGTGGGAATTGAACAATGAGAACACATGGACACAGGAAGGGGAACATCACACTCTGGGGACTATTGTGGGGTGGGGGGAGGGGGGAGGGATAGCACTGGGAGATATACCTAATGCTAGATGATGAGTTAGTGGGTGCAGCGTACCAGCATGGCACATGTATACATATGTAACTAACCTGCACAATGTGCACATGTACCCTAAAACTTAAAGTATAATAATAAAACAAAAAGGAATAAAAGAATAGCTACACCACAGACAGAGCAGCCCCAAGGGCTGCTGGTTGCCCATTTTTATGGTTATTTCTTGATTATATGCTAAACAAGGGGTGGATCATTCATGCCTCCCCTTTTTTTAGGCCCTATAGGGTAACTTCCTGACATTGCTATGGCATTTATAAGCTGTCATGGTGCTGATGGGAGTGTAGCAGTGAGGATGACCAGAAGTCAATCTCATTGCCATCTTGGTTTTGATGGTTTTAGCTGGCTTCTTTACTGCAACCAGTTTTCAGTAGGTCTCAGCTTTATTTTACCCAGCCCCTATTCGAGATGGAGTTGCTCTGGTTCAGACACCTCTGACAGAAGTATAGTCTTGACATCAGGGTTTTAAAAAGCTCCCCAGGTAGTTTTGGGTTTTAAAAAGCTCCCCAGGTAGTTTTAAAGTGCTTCCCAGATTGAGAAGCACTATACAAGATTAGAGCTTTTAAATTGCAGTGGTAAGTCACCTGGGAACCATGCTAAAAAACACGAATGCTGATTTAGTCAGTATGGGGAGGGGCCTGAGATTCTGCATTTCTAAAAAAGCTTCCAGGAGACCCACTGCTACTTGTTGAGGACTAAACTTCCAAGGCACCAGATGAGATAATCTACTTCCAAATGTCCTCTAGTCAAGCCAGGACTCACGAGCTCTCATGTTATTTTCTTTCCATCCTAACCCTACACAGACTCAAGTACCTCACGTTATTTACAGGTAGAAAGGCATTTTTGTGTATATACTGTTTTGTTTTTAAATATCTGATAGCAAGGAATCTTATTCTAGTCAAACATGAAATATTACCAGAAAAGTGCAAAACCGTAAAGTCCAAATTCAGAATGATGACCTTAGGCTCACGAAACCAGAGTGCAATTGCTGATGTGAGGGATGCTCTTAGAACCCGAGTTGGTATGGAACTCATTTTAAACTGAAGCCACTGGGGATTCAATAGGTGCAGAAAGAAGCCTTCTTGGTGCTTCCTTTATCTGACAAAAAGCAGAGACTTCTGGAAAAATGAGGCTGCCATACCTCCCTCTTACGGGTGGCTTTTACTCCCAGGAAGATGATCAAGAAACCTACCGTAAGTCCTCTCTCCAGGGAAGTTTTATGGCCATGAATGAGATACAGAGATCACTCAGGCCTGCATGAACAAGCACTATCACAAACTCTTTATCTCTCATTTGTTCTTCTAGAAATCCATCTGTTCCTCCTATAGAGGCCTTTTCCCCCACTGCCTCTTTTCCCTACTAAGCTGGGCATATAAGTTTCTAGCTTTAACTACTTACTGAGTTTCTTCTTTTTCAAGCTCCTATATGCATATAAATAAGGTCCCCCTGCCCACCTGTTAATCTGTCTTTTATCAGCTTAATTTGCAGGCCCCCAGGTACTGAACTTAAGAGGACAGAGGAAAAGTTTTTCCTCCCTGACACTGAGCAACCAGAGGCTGCTGTTAAGTAACCTTCCCTCATTTCTACGTCTGTCCTCTGCCCCTTCCAGCCCCTCAACCCACATTGTCTCTCATGTTCCTATTCACCTAAAAGAGGAAAATCATATTATTTCAATAAACCTCTGCCTTATAGTTTGTAAACTGTTTTCTGTTGTTTTTTTGTTTTGTTTTGAGACAGAGTCTTGTAGTGGCACCATCTCAGCTCAGTGCAACCTCTGCCTCCCAAGTTCAAGCGATTCTCCTGCCTCAGCCTCCTGAGGAGCTGGGATTACAGGCGTGCGCCACCACGCCCAGCTAATTTTTGTATTTTTAGTAGAGACGGGCTTTCACCGTGTTGGTCAGGCTGGTCTCGAACTCCTGACCTCATGATCCACCCACCTCAGCCTCCCAAAATGCTGGGATTACAGATGTGAGCCACCGAGCCCGGTCAACTGTTTTCTGTCCTTGTAATTGGTATAATGACAATTGCATTAATACTTCATCTGCTGGACACTGGGTAAGAACTCTCCAAGTGTAAGTGGAAATTTTTCTGCAAATGGATCTCATGTTACATAGCACAGGCCTACCATAATATCAGAATTACAGAATTTGGATTTGAACATCAAATACAGATATGTTCCCTATATACATTTTCATAAATCAATCAAAAGAATCCTGTAATCCTAGCACTCTGTAATCCTAGCACTTTGGGAGGCCTAGGCGGGTGGATCACCTGAGGTTAGGAGTCCAAGACCAGTTTGGCCAACATGGTGAAATCCTGTCTCTACAAAAATTAAGTGGGCATGATGGCGGGTGCCTGTAATCCCAGCTACTCAGGAGGCTGAGGCAGGAGAATCGCTTAAACCCAGGAGGCAGAGGTTGCAATGGTGCCATTGTACTCCAGCATGGGCAACTGAGTGAGACTCTGTCTCCAAAAAAAAAAAAAAAAAACCTGTCACACACAAAGCATGATTTTTTTAAAGTAAAGGAACAAAAACTCTTTGGTCCCTACAGTCATATCTCACAGATCTTAACAAACAAGTTCCTAATTAAGTAATAATACATAAAACTCATATTGGCCCAAGGTAGGATCTAGATGTTTTAGAAACTAGTCTATTGGCCCTGACTCAGACCACAGGTGCTCACAGCCTCAGGCAGTGGGTCCCTTTGACAGCGGAAGGACTCCTGCCTTGCAAAGATCATTCACGGTATTTGTCTACTCGGGCATTTGGAGGAATTTATCTGAGAGATCTCTGTTCCTCTGTGGCCCTGACATGTCTTTTCTCCTCTTGTATTTTCACTCTTACTTTTCTTCTTTCAGCATTAGGAATGCTTTCCTTTGTTCAAGCCAGCCCGCTGTGTAATCTTAACAACATTCATAAAAGGGAATTCTTCATACGTGCCCTTAGCTCACAGCGCCCCGCGTCAAGTTCTAGGAATCCATGTGTGAGGAACAAAGAGGATTGTTTCGTCTGTAAATGGGTTATTCTGACAACAGGGCAATTTTGGCTTCTCTCTAAGCTTCACAAAGCTTTGCAGCACAGCCCTGGCAAGGAATCACAATGACAATAGCTGCACTGAAGCCACACACTCCATGTGCAGGGCCGGAACATGATTAAAGCAATCAAATGCACGAGGTTTAGAGAATGAACTGTTACAAATTACAAGTTTGCAGGGGGAGAGGATTTGGAAGTCTTTACTCAAGGTTCAAGCATTATAGCAAATTGTGTCTAATATAATAATATTAGATTATTAATATTATTGTAGCTAAACTTTAACGCTTGTGATAAAACACGTCAGATTTAAACACATCACTTTAAATAGAATTCCAAGGGTTAGGTCTTATCTCCATTTAGGAAGTGGGGAAACTGAGGAATGAGGTTATGAAAACTGCCTAAGGTTAATCTGCTGGTGAGAGGCAGTGATGGTGCTGGAATCCAGGCCTCCTAGCTGTTGCTTCCTGCCTCATCTTCTTCCTCTTTTTAGCTTCAGCAACATCACATGTTGCCTGGAGACCCATTGAATGTTGGATTCGGAGGTCACTTAGAGGTTACACTCCCCTCCCCTTCTTCACCTTATGGGTGAAAAAGCAGAGGCTTGGGCAGGTCACTTGAGTTGCCCAAGGCCAATTTAGGTGGAGCTAGGAGTACGACCTAAGTCTCCTGAGATACAGCTTAATAGGCTGTCTCCCACCCAGGGTTATGTGTGTACTCTTTTCATCCAATTAATTTTTCAGCCAACAGCTACATCCTTTCATTTGAGCCCTGTGCTTTCAAATTACATGTCTTCCCACTCAAAGAAGTGGGACTAAATCCACAGAGTTTTGCAAGCTTAAAGGCACCTCTTAAAGATCTGGAAGCCACCAGTATTATTCATATAAATACAGAGCCAGGAGACGGATCTCTATATTGCTTTAGGTAAATCTCTTCTTAAATTAAAACACAGACTATGTTACAGCAAGTCATTAAGAGTCATAAGAGGCAAAAGTGAGACAGTGAATTGATCAAATCACCCACAGTCATGGCGCAGACATCAGTTTAGGCAAGTCATCATTTAACCTAATTGAAGAGTTAATACTTCCTACATTCTTTACCTTCAACTTATTTATTTCTGGCCCTGAGTATTTCAGATGTGCTAAGTGCTGCCCTGAGAACTCCGTACTCACAACGTTCCTTTGCCCTTTCTTAATCCTCCAATGACATTACCAGTGAGGTTCTGTTATTAAATCCATTCCATAGTCCCAAGAGACTGAGGTTTAAAGAAATGAAGCAACCTGCCTGAGGTTGCTGAAGACTTTACCTGAATCCAGGTGATCCAGGTGCCAGGGGTCGGTGGCGGACGACATGGGGGAGAGGGTCAGCGGCGAGGCCCCGCAGTTGGACTCCACCAGCTCGCCCTGGATGTGGACGTGAGCCGAGGCGTTTGTCTGCCTCAAGGCGGCCTTGAGAGGGGCGATCTGGTTGAACTGGACTCTGGAGAGGCAACCAGTGAATCCTGGGGTGTTGTATTTGTGAATCTCTTGGTCAATTTTCCCTGTTTCTAAAAGAAAAAAAGAAATGAAAATGTTACTTGACTCACCATAGTCCAGCTGTACAACATACCTGTCTTTGAATGCTTGTGTCCAAAGCTTACCTTTAGGTTTCAGTTTAAGATGTTACATTGTTTTGGATGAAATATTAATGAGTCGATAAGATTTAGGGCTGCATACTTGACTTTAAAGGAACCTTGTGTTAACAGAAAATACGGTAGGGTGAAAATAAGACTATATGTGATAAAATACGTTTCTCAGTACCTTCTGGCTACTTCAGACGCTGCCGAAACTCACAACAGTGACTTGGTTCTGATTGATTTTTCTCCTTATCTTTTCTGATGCTTCCCTGACCCTCTTAACAAATTGAACAAAGCAGCCCTGCTCTGCCCTCCTGGCAAAATATGGTTCTGTTTTAGATCTCTTACTTATTTTCTTCTTCAGAATTCTTTAAAAAAAAAAAAAAAAAAAAAGAACAAGAATTCTAGTAGCCTGTACGTGAACATCTCCTTTCTTCAAAATCCAATCCCCTTGGAATTCTGAGATTTACAGAATCCCCGGCTAGTGTCTGATGGAGGTTTTGGCAGTCAGGAAACTTTCCCAACCCAATCAATCACAAACAACACATGCCTTGGTGAATCTCACCATCTCCCCACTACCTGTAGGCTCAACATCTTCCCAAACTAACTCAGCTCAGAGGTGAGACTGAGTAGAGGCATTTCCAAGGTAACAAGTGCAATGTACCCACACGTTGTTATACCAGTTAAATCAATGGCCCTCTGTTCCAAGTTTTAGAAACTAACAGAAACAAATGTTGAAAGAGTCCTTAAATGCTTAAGAGCCCTTAGCTAGTGGGCCAGGCGGACTGACCTCAGAGCCTTTTAACCACTACTGGGAACTGTGTGAGAAAGATAATTCCAGCGGCAGCGCTGCGATTGCTCTGAGCAGGTGCCGCATCAACCCCTCATGTCCCTGCCGACTCCCTGGGCTCACACAAAGATTCTTTTGCCCCAGCGCTGAGGCAGGGTGCTGTGGGGGACATGGATAAAGTGCCTTGTTCTTCTCCAGCATCTCTCTACGCTTGCTTGCCCTTTGCTGAAGCCGTTCTGTTATCTATTGTGAACCAGTGTTAGTTTTGTCTCCTCTTTTAGAGCTGGGTAGAAAAAGTGACTCCCGCTCCATTTCATAGGGTCCCTGACAGTTTTCGCAACTTTGAGGAGGGCAGGTTTCCCTATGACACCACAGAAAATCAATTGTTTCAAAGCCGTATCTGTCTGCGGGGTCTCAATTTAACATGGAGTCTACACTTCTTAAAGAGCTGTCTTCCCCTTGGTATCTCCTTCTGAGGTGGCCTCAAGGGAGAGAGCCTGGGGCATGGGGTTCCGATGGTGGAACAGGGAGAGAAACCACGGGTGGCAGCAGAGACTCCCGGGCCCAGGCCTGTGGGGCTGTGAGCATTGGCAGAAGCGTCCACTGAGCAGCCAGGAGCTGGGGCTGGATGGCAGGAATGAGCCCTGGCAAATGGCCTGCTCTCACTTTTCCATTCTCTTTGGGCCTCTTTCACTCTCTTCTTTAGCTTTCTCCTTTCTGTGCCTTCTCCCTATTGGGGAAAATTCCCAGTGTTTCAACTGTTGTTTCTTTCCTGTAAGGCAGCAGGGTCACAAAAAGGAGGATTCTGATGCCCTGGAGAACAGAACCAGTACTTCCAAAACCGGAGTGTGTTCCACATCTAGTTGATGTGCCTCTTTCCTAGAGACCCTTGGCTGGGACCAATTCCCCTGGGGGGGCCAATGTGCAGTAAGTAGATGCTCTGGAGTTTGCAGGACCTGATGGTTCCAACTCAGGGCCATGTGATAATAATATTGATACAATGGTAGAGAAAGGTGGCAGAGAAAATCTAGGCAGAAAGGGGCGGGTCCCTGTCAAACCCTCACCCTCAAGCCAGAAACTGCAGCCCAAAGTGAGAACTTACATCCCTGTTTTCCAGCTCAAATGTTGCCTTTTCCAAAACCACCCATGGCCCTGCCCCCTGACATCCTGTGCCTATAAAAACCCCATACTCAGCTGGCAGAGAGAAGAGAAGCAGCTGGACGTTGGTGACTATGGTTAGACATTGGAGAGAAGCGGCTTCACTTCAGAGGGACAGCTTGACACGTAACATCAGAGAAGAATCTGGCCAGAGATGGCTGGACTTCAGGAGAAGATTACCTTCCCTCTCCATCCCCTTTTCAACTTCCCTTCCTGCTGAGAGCCACTTTCATCGGCAATAAAAATCCCCTACATTTGTCATCCTTCAATTTGTGTGATGTCATTTCTCCTGGATGCGGGACAAGAGCTCGGATGCTGCTAGTGTGGCTACAAAAGGCTGTCACACTTGCCCTTTGTCCTCACTGGCAGAAGGCAGCCAGCTTACGTGAAAAGCCACTGAGCTGTTGATACTTAGGCCGTCTGGGGACAGCAGAACTAAAAGCACTGTAACATGCCCTCTGGGGCTTCAGGGGTTGCAGGCACCACTCCTAGATGCTGCCACGGAGCCTGCACAGAGTTCACTCCTGTTGGCGCTCAAAAGCGCTCACCCTGACTCCTGCACCCACTCACCCGCGTGCTTACCCCTGCAAGGGGTGGAGCACAGTGGGTCCAAGTGAGTGGCGTTTGCTCCTGGCAGTACCTAAGTGGCTGGCTGGTTTCAGCATTCATGCACTCCAGTTCCTGCCTCATTCGCGTGCATGCTTCCTCCCATGAGGAGTTGAAAGCTGTGGGCTGGGTAATTGAGGGCACCCCTGTTGCAAGTCCCACAAAGCGGTCAGGGAAACATCCTGCTTCAATATTAGAGCACAGACCAAGGGCAGTACATGATGGGGGGCACTGTGCTTAGTACTTATTATGCAGTATCCCATTAAGTCTCCTGGTAACCCTCTGAGCTAAATAGGATTACCCGCCAAGTGACAGATGAGGGAAACGAGGCTTAGAGAAGTTAAGGCTTTGCCAATGAATAAACATTTATGTTTCATATAAAAAAAAAAAGAAGTCAAATATTTTGCATCAGTCTCAATTTCTCTTTGAAAAATAGACTATATTGTTTTATATTCATGTAGACTTTTGATATTTCTAGTCAGGGACCCCATAGAAACGGTAGAGTGAGGTTTTCAGAAAAAATGTAAATGGTTGTTAAAACTGCTTTGAGATTGTGTTTCATTAGCGGCTGAGCCAACAATTTGATTTTCAAAAATGTGGTGAACTGATGTCAAATCTTCATTAGCATCATTTAAAGCACCAGAAAGTTACAGAAATGCCTGTCTGGAATAAGATTCCATATTTCTTAAGAACATCTACAAATGACAGTATAGCTATCACTTTTTTGAATTTATTACAAGTAAAGTGTGTTACTCTATAATTGATTAGACTGGTCTCTACTGAAACCAAATATTAAAATATCATTTACTGTAAGAAACAACGTTCTGCCTGGAGGTGTCTTGGGTAAGGTGTTATTTGTGGGGGAAACTTGCTTTAAAAATGCAAATTTTAGAAATGCAGTACAATCACTTTAAAATGAGATTCTCAAGTGGCAATCAGTACGTTAATGTCTTATATTCATAAGGATATGGATTACAGAAAATAGTTCACTTAAAACACTGACACAATTCCGGGTAATACGTTAAAATGAAATGCTCATGACAGTCCTTTTAAGGAAATGCAGCAACTCCATTTGCGATGCATTAGCATGCTTTCCCGCTCCTTGTTCAGTTACTGAATGCCAAGTGAGAGGCGGGAGTGTTGTGAGAAATGAAAGAGAAAAGGGCACCTGAGCAGGAAACACGGGGAGAATAAAGCCAGCTCCACGGAGGACAGAGCTGTGCTTGGGGCCTCGTGTACACGCTCGAGCTCCTTTTCAGCGATTGGATAAGCATTTATTTATTTGGACAGGGATTTATTTATTTATTATTTATGAGACAGGGTCTTACTCTGTCATCCAGGCTGGAGTGCAAGGCACAATCTCAGCTCACTGCAGCCTCAACCTCCCGGGCTCAAGCAATCCTCCCACCTCAGCCTCTTTGAGTAGCTGGAACCACACTCGTGTGCTACCATGCCCGACTAATTTTTTTTTTTAGTATTTTTTTGTAGAGGCGGGGTTTTGTTATGTTACCCAGGTTGGTCCCAAACAACTAGGCTCAAGCGATCCACCCACCTCGGCCTCCCAGAGTGCTGGGATTATAGGCATGAGCCACTGTGCCCAGCCTGGATAAGCATTTAGATGTGACTTCTCAAAGGAGACTTCTTCTTTTCCTTTGAGATTATTTAAATGCACCTATATCTTCTTCTTGTGTATTCCATGGGATCTATTCACCAGATGATTTTTGTTAGGTTTTATATCTTATAGTTTTCTATCAATGTTCCTTTTTGGGGAGGGCGATGTGATATTATGAGATCCACCTGCCTCGGCCTCCCAAAGTGTTGGGCCTGGTGTCATTCGCATTTCTAAAATCTAGACTGAAAACAAAAAACTTATGATTGCTAGTTAATCTTAGAATATAGTTGTAATGGCCGGGCATGGTGGCTTACGCCTGTAATCCCAGCACTTTGGGAGGCCGAGGCAGGTGGATCACGAGGTCAGGAGTTTGAGACCAGCCTGGCCAACATGGTGAAACCCCATCTCTACTAAAGATACAAAAAATTAGCTGGGCGTGGTGGTGGACGCCTGTAATCCCAGCTACTCGGGAGGCTGAGGCAAGAGAATCACTTGAACCTGGGAGGCAGAGGTTGCAGTGAGCCGAGATCACGGCATTGCGCTCAAGCCTGGGAAACAGGGCAAGACTCTGTCTCAAAAAAAATTGTATATATATAATATACTATATATATATAAAAATATATATATTTATATTTTATATTTATAGTTTATATATTTATATAGTTGTATATATACATATATGTAACTATAGTTTTATATATAGTATAACATACATATATACATAACTATACATATATAGTTGTAATTACACAGTACCAAAAACATTGACACAAAAGAGAATTTATGATCCCTTAAATGTTTCCCAAACACCAGACATTTGGAATGGGTAGGAGCACACATCTGATATGTGGATTTTCCACTTCTTTCCTGGATGTTTCAAGTTGTCAGATGTAAGATAGAAAGCCTGGAAGGTGCTGGTGCCCCATTCCTCAGCCTCAGGTGCCCTGTCACATGGCATGATTTTTTAGCGCTAAGAATAACAAGCTCTGCTGAAAGTAACAAGACCTTTCAGAATAATGGATGTACCTGTCACTCAAACCACAGAGCTGGGTGCTATGATTTACTTCATGGGAAATCAGGTCTGATTTGACTTCTTCGAATCCCAGTAAATTGAAGCTATATGTCCTGGCTATTTGCTGCTGGGAAACAGAACACTAATGTGCGTCCTGAGTTTCTCATGAGCTGGGAATGAACAGACCTGCTTCTTACTCATTGGAATGTTTCCACTTTTGCATTTTAACTTGATAGCAGCAGAAATAGAATCCTGTGTACGAAATTACCAACTGAAATGTAGTACAGAAAAATAATTTATCTCTGTGTGTGCTCCGCTTCTGCTAAAATGTTTTTTTGGCTTTGGAGAACCACGTTAAACTCTAGCCAACACCATAAAAAAAAATGAGCTTCAGTTTTCAAGCTTTTCCTTAATTCCTCTCCAAGCCACTGGTAGGTATGCCGGCCAAGACTAGCAGAGGGTCATTTGAAACTAACTCTGGACAGCAGGAGAATTTGCGACAATGGGGAAAAAAGGGTAGAAAGGTGTTGACCTCATACATTTCACAAGCAGCATAACAAAGTGTAGGCTAGGAAAAGTGTGTTAGCAAATTTTTGTATTTCCAGATAATGTCAAGTTGAATGATTCAGTAAAACAGAAAGTAGTTCACTTTTTATTTTTCTTCCTTTGTTCTCAGTTGTATTATAATTCCTATCCCAGAAGGCCTCTAAAGCTATCTTACCCAAGAGAAAAAAAAAAAATCCTTTGAGGACTAAGATCGCATGAAAGCATAAACATCACGAAATGGACCTGAGGTAGGGATTGAAAGTGATGGTTTCCCCAGGGCCATGAGCCAGTCAAGCACATGAAGAAACTGAGAGGGAGAACTGTTTCTGGAAAGTGTATTGGATGGTTCCCTTAACTGACGCTCTATGTCACATAATTAACACAAGAAAAAATTAGAATCTCGGGACCTTGCCATATAAAATGATGTTCAGAAAACAGAGCCTAATGCTTTGAGGCTGAACTTGAAGCTCCAGTGGATCATCACAAAATTTAAACCATACGATCGCAACCACCCTGGATGCCACCAAGGGACACAGTCCGGAGACCCACTGGGAGGCCTTTGGATACTTCTTCCTGTCAACACCTATTCTCACTGCTGAACCCCTAAAGCCAGTTCCTTTATTTTCAGATTGAGGTAATAGCCTCCTAGGTGGGAGAGCACTGAGAGAGGCCATCTAAATTTCAGCAAAGCATTTTAGTAAGTTTCTCATGACATTTTTGTGGTCAAGACAAATAGATATGGTCTCATTGTAATATGTTTGAGTAGTACAGTCAGGCACCACATAATGATGCTTTGGTCAAGGATGAACCACATGTAGGAGGGTGGTCCCAGGAGATTATAATGGAGCTGAAATTTTTCTATTGCCTGGCATTTATCATAATGTGCTTTTTATCATTATTTTAGAGTATACTTCTTTTTTGTTGTTGTTGTTTTTTGAGACTGAGTCTCGCTCTGTCGTCCAGGCTGGAGTGCAGTGGCACAATCTGAGCTACCACAACTTCCACCTACTGGGTTCAAGCGATTCTTGTGCCTCAGCCTCCCAAGTAGCTGGGATTATAGGCGCCCGCCACCACACCTGGCTAATTTTTGTATTTTTAGTAGAGACGGGGTTTCACCACGTTGGCCAGGCTGGTCTCGAACTCCTGACCTCATGATCTGCTTGCCTCAGCCTCCCAAAGTCCTGGGATTACAGGTGTGAGCCACTGCACCTGGCCTACTTTTTTTAAATTTTTTATTTTTAAAAAGGGTAACTGTACAACAGCCTCAGGCAGGTCCTTCAGGAGCTATTCCAGAAGAAGGCATTGTTATCACAGGAGATGACAGCTCCATGTGTGTCACTGCCCCTGAAGACCTCCCAGTGTGACAAGGTGTGCAGGTGGAAGACAGTGGTATTGATGATCCTCACCCTGTGGAGGCCAAAGCAAATGTGTGCATTTGTGTCCTAGTTTTCAATAAAAAAGTCTTAAAAGTTAAAAACAAATTTTTAAATAGCAAAATCTTATAGAATACGCATATAAAAAGAAATATTTTTTACAGCTGTATAATGTGTTTGTGTTTTAATCTAAGTGTTAGACAAAAATATGAAAAAGTGAAAAAGTTTGAAAACATTAAGAAGTCTATAAAGTTAGAAAAGGTACAGTATGCTAAGGTTAATTTATTTTATTTATTTATTTATTTTGAGATGGAGTCTTCCTCTGCTGACCAGGATGGAGTGCATGCAGTGGCACAATCTCGGCTCACGGTAACCTCTGCCTCCTGGGTTCAAGCAATTCTCCTGCCTCAGCCTCCCGAGTAGCTGGGATTACAGGCATATGCCACCACACCAGGCTAATTTTTGTATTTTTAGTAGAGACGGGGTTTCACCATGTTGATCAGGCTGGTTTTTAACTCCTGACCTCAAGTGGTCTACCCTCCTCTGCCTCCCAAAGTGCTGGGATTACAGACATGAACCACTGCACCCAGCTGGTTAATTTATTATTAAAGAAAGAAAATTGTAAAAGGTAAATTTAATGTGGCCAAAGTGTCCAGTGCTTATAAAATCTACAGTAGTATAATGTCCTAGGCCTTCATATTCACTTACCACCCACTCACTCATCCAGAGCAACTTCCAGTCCTGCCAAGCTTCATTCCTGTTAGGTGTCCTATATAGGGGTACCAATTTTTACTTTTATTTTTTATTTATTTTTTTTGAGACGGAGTCTTGTTCTGTCCCCAGGCTGGAGTGCAGTGGTGTGATATTGACTCACTGCAACCTCCAACTCCCAGGTTCACGCGATGCTCCTGCCTCAGCCTCCCGAGTAGCTGGGACTACAGGCACACACCACCACACCCAGCTAATTTTTTTTGTATTTTTACTAGAGACGGGGTTTCACCATGCTGGCCAGGCTGGTCTCGATCTCCTGACCTTGTGATCCGCCTGCCTCGGCCTCCCAAAGTGCCGGGATTACAGGCATGAGCCACCACGCCCAGCCAATTTTTATCTTTTATATCATATTTTTACCATACTTTGTCTATGTTTAGTGAACAAATACCGTTGTGTTACCGTTGCCTACAGTATTGAGTGCAGTGGCGTGCTGCACATGTCTGCAGCCTGGGAGCAATGGGCTGTAGCACAGAGCCTGGGTGTGTAGAAGGCTGCACCTTCTGGGTTTGTGTAAGTGCACTCTGTGGTATTCGCATAATGATGAAATTGCTTAATGACACTCTTCTCAGAACGTATCCCTGTCGTTCAGTGATGCATGAGAGTATTTTAAAGGTAGATTAATCATGAGATGAACAGTGGTGGAATTTGATAAATAGGTAGAAATTGGCTTCAAGGAGAATTTTAGTGGTGATTCCAAGCCTACATTTAATCATTTTATTAACTTGGATAAAGACATCAATGGCACATTGATGAATGTGCCATATGGCATTTAGTAAAAAGGGATGGCTCCACTCAAGAGGACATTATCGTGAGCCAAAGGGACTCCGAGAGGCTGAAATGATTTCCCTAGATATAACTAAATACAGTTTAGCAGAAACGAATAACCAATTTCTATATTTGGAAATGCCATCGTGCCTTCCCCCACCCCAATCACCTTCAATACCAAATTGTATAGGACACACCTGGTAACTGCACGTAGCCTCCTCTCCCCCTCCTTTGTTGGGACAATGGGGCTGATAGAAGAAAACTGGATTTTTTTTTCCAGTTTTGTTTTCCAGCAACCCCTCAGGACTCTGGTATTTTTGTTAATTATTTGGGATTTAGGAATTAAGAGTGAGACCTGACTGAGTCATGAAAAGGATGGAGTCTATATTCCAATTTAGAAAGTGGTTTCTGAGACCATCCCCTGGGGTGGTCAGCATACCCCAGAGAGGTGATCAGTTCTGGACAGAGCATCTTGAGCAGGAAAGCAATAATAAACCGGGGTGTGTTTTGAGGATGGCACCATGCTTGAGACGGTGTCATGTGAAGCAGACTGGAAGGAACTGTGGATGCTGAATGTGGGGAAGAGAAGACTCTAGAAGCACACCGTCACTGCCTTCAGGTGTTGGAAAGGCCGGCACCAGGGAGAAGGCTGAGACTTGTTCTGTGGGGCATTAATGGAAGGATGCTCAACTGGATCTTATACTGAAAGCAAATATGAGATCAAGTCTGCCAGGGTAGGTGTGGAGAAAGTGGCCCTGTAAGCCAAGGGGCTATTGAGTTCAATCCTGGATGTCATTCCAGCTGGTGGGGTGCGGTGGAAACACCAGGGAAGGGCAGGGGTAGGGGGGGACCAGCCATGCAGGGGAGAAGGCAAGTCCTCAGACCCCTGTTCTGTGTGGCACTGTGCGGAAGAGGGGAAGGCTGCCTCACTTCACCCTGTGTGCCAGTCCTTTATCTAACTAAATCTCCACAGAAAATCCACAAGATGGGGTTGAATGACCTTTTGTTATCCAGAAAAGAAACAGCCTGAGGAGTAAAGTCACCTGACTGAGGTCACTCTGCTAGAAGGTGGGGCAGGGATTCAGCCCCCGGTGCTGTCCCTGACTCTCTTTCTGCGTGGAGGGATTCAGGCTCAGCCTCCAGGAACCGGAGACCAGAGCTCCCTATCTGGGACCCAGCCACTGAGACGTCAGGTCACAAAGATGGATAGAACCAGAGGCACTGGGGAGCCGGAGAGCTTTGGAAATGGGCATCTTTATGTCCTTCTGCCTCAGTCTAGAGCTGAGATTTGTGAAAGGGCCAAATCAGGGGTAGGAAGAGGGTGCAGTGTATCCTCCGAGGTGGGAGGAGGCCGGGCCATTTGACCATATCTTTCTCTTCAGAGTTCACTGTTCCCAAAGACACATTATATGTCATCCATTTTTATATAAATGGTGAGTTCCCAAATGGGATTTAAAGACAGCCTAGCAAATCTTTACATCCCTTGGAACTTAAAACAAAGCTTTTCCTTCACAGAATTCTAATCTCTCTTGAATAAGAGGCTACGAAACTGAGGGACATTATAATAACCTTCATTTAAAATTAGATTCTGGATGTTCTGGTGACTTAGCTGAAAACAGCTCAAATCAGCGAAAACCTTTACAAAGACTTTTCGAAAGTTGGAAGACATATCTGTACACACAGGGCGTAGAGCCGGACTTGGCCAGTATGTGCCTTCTGCCTCCTCCTGGCAATGCTTACCCCTTATTACTGTTATTTCTGAGACGTGAATGTTTTCTCATAGTGAATGTAGCAGTAATAGTAATAATAATAATAATAATAATAATAATAATAATAATGATAAAGAACAGCAACATTTCTCACAAACCCATTTCCTGAGTATTAGCAGATTTGCTACTGGGCCTTGGTTCCCCTTAGATCTTGGCTTAAATGAATGCTTAATAATGATAACAGAGGCTGGGTGCCATGTCTTATGTTGGTAATCCCAGCACTTTGGATCACTTGAGGCCAGGAGTTCGAGACCATCCTGGCCAACATGGCGAAACCCTGTCTCTACTAACAATGCAAAAATTAGCCAGGTGTAGTGGCACAAATTAGCCGGGTGTAGTGGCACAAATTAGCCAGGTGTAGTGGCACACCCCTGTAATTCCAGCTACTTGGGAGGTTGGGGCATGAGAATGGCTTGAACCTGGGAGGCGGAGGTTGCAGTGAGCCAAGATCACAGCACTGCGTTCCAGCCTGGGCAATAGAGGCACTCTGTCACAAAAGACAAAAAAAAAAAAAAAAAAAAAAAAAAAAAAGGGATTCAATTTTAATTAAAAAAAATATAAAAATATAATGGTAACAGCTAAAGATTCTTGGGGTTATTACCATGTATTAGATGTATGCTTAGCATTTGAAACACAATGTCTTATTAATGTTTGTGAGAGAAGAGAGACAGACCCTCTCATATTGTTTTATATTGTTCTATAATCAGAAAAGGAAAGAGAAGCGAAACTAAAGGCAGGTAGCCCAGTGCCTAGGAACCAGACCCGAAACCAGGCCTGGGCCCGCCTGACCTAAGCCTGGTAGTTAAAATTCGACCCCTGACCTAGCAACTGATGTTATCTATAGACTCCAGACATTGTATAGAAAGACACTGTGAAACTTCCTGGTCTGTTCTGTCTCAGTCTGACCACCGGTGCATGCAGCCCCTGTCACATACCCCCTGCTTGCTCAATAGATCACGACCCTCTCACACGGAACCCCCTTAGAGTTGTGAGCCCTTAAAAGGGACAGGAATTGCTCACTCGGGTAGCTTGGCTCTTGAGACAGGAGTCTTGCCGATGCTCCCGGCTGAATAAACCTCTTCCTTCTTTAACTTGGTGTCTGAGTTTTGTCTGCAATTCGTCCTGCTACATCTGCAGCACCTTGCTATGGCTGGTACAATTTTGGACCCATTCTGATTGTCGCTCACTGTAGTGAAGTAACTTGCCCAGAATCACATGAGCTAGGAAGTGCCAGTGCATAAAACCAGGAAATTTGCCCCCAAAACTCATGCTCTTAACCATCACTCTACCAGTTAAGACATTATCCAGATGCCTGGAGACCAGGGGAGGCCTCAGCTGGGAGCTACTTCTAGAAAGTTAAGAACTGCCTGGGGCTCTGCAGAACTCTCCCTGCATTTGCAGATTATACTTAATACCTAACTCAGTTGTAGCCGCCAGCAACCCCCACCCCTCAACTTGCAGATAATCCACTTTAACTGAAGATGTGTCCCCCTGCGAATTGGTAATTACTCCTTGTGGCACTGTCAGAGCTATTCAAAGGATAAGAGACAAGGAAGAACAAAGCTAATCTGAGCCAGGCACTGAAGCTGCAGTCGTCTCTTAGACACCTAAAGGGAGTGACTTCCATGGCTCAGATGTGGTGTAGAGGGCTGTTGATTTTCATTTTACTTTTAACAAAAGATGAGGGGCTCTATCTGAAATGTTTGCTTGGGGGATCTTAATTTTCAGCTCTGACAATGCTCGCTGTGTGCTTATTTTCTCAGCTGGGCACATTCTCTAGTCCTATCATTACCGTGACTCTTTTAACTGTCTGTACATGTTGAGGGGACTTCCATCTACACTTCAGGAGGTGCAAATTACAGTGGCTGTGGCACCTCGAAGAAAATACATTTTCTCGGTATGAGCAGTCATTTTCTCTTGGTGACATGTTGCGTACTTTGTTTCAGAACAGATGAGAGCTTAAAATATTTTATGGGGCGATCGCATTAATCTCGCCTCTAAAATATGTTATCATGACTCTTAGGCATCTTGGGGGAAATGAATCTGCCTAGAAAATATGGTTTTCTGGATAACAAGAGATCTAGTTCTTTTGGCATGAGCCCATTTCAGTATTTCCAGCTGAATATCTGTCTAGAATGCTTTTTTAAGGCAAAGCAGACGCCAAATCAGGGTCATGTGATGACTTTCACAGGCCCTAGGCACTTTTGCTTTCAAGGTTTTCTTCCTCCATTAAAAAAAAATCAAAAGTAATATTTTAGGACTGTGTTGGTATAAAGATGAATATAATGATATTATGTATTAACATATTATATATTAGAACATTTTTCCTTTGACTTAACAGTTCATTTTTTTCTTCTGATTTTAAATGTTATTAGAACACTTTTGTGGGTCCCTGGAAGTACTGTGGGCCTACTGAACCCCATGGATATGTTGGCCCCTGCCAAACATATGTGATGGTTTTTCTTTTCTTTTATTTTTTTTTTGAGACAGAGTCTTGTTCTGTCACCAGGCTGGAGTGCAGTGGCTTCATCTTGGCTCACTGCAATCTCTGCTTCCCAGGTTCAATCGATTCTCCTGCCTCAGCCTCCTGAGTAGCTGGGACTACAGGCATGCACCACCGCGCCCAGCTAATTTTTGTATTTTTAGTAGAGACAGGGCTTCACC
Organism: Homo sapiens; assembly: GCF_000001405.40. Classification (NCBI taxonomy): domain Eukaryota; kingdom Metazoa; phylum Chordata; class Mammalia; order Primates; family Hominidae; genus Homo; species Homo sapiens. Next base: position 152,175 of record NT_187564.1, on the reverse strand, counting down.
ATGTTGGCCAGAGTGGTCTCAATCTCTTCACCTCGTGATCCGCCTTCCTGGGCCTCCCAAAGTGTTGGGACTACAGGCGTGAGCCACCGCGCACAGCTGTGATGGTTTTTCTTAATGGCTTGAAGCTTGGCTGGGAATATTGTTTTGCCATGCTATGGAGACAGCTGGAAGTAGCCCTGGATTTGCATTTTTGAAGAAGGGCCTGAAGTTGCCTTTTTTTTTTGGGGTCATTTTCCTCTGTCTTAGACAGGTGGTGAAAACTCTGCTACTGACTCTACAGCATGGTTGCCTTTCTGCAAAAGTATCTGGAAATCACAAACTGCATGATGGCCTCTTACTCCTGGAAATCATCTTTGTTATCTCTACCAGCATTCTTTAATTTGTGAGCAATTTTAAAAGTAAAATAGTTATTGTCTTCAAAAGATTCTATTTCTTTAGCCGTGATGCTATCTGCCATTCGTATAAGTTCTTTTCAACATGTGGTCTTGGGCAAGGATCCATGGAAAAATTGTGGACTTAATTTTATAGAAAGAGTGAAATAAAAGTCTTACACAGATCAACTTTGTTATGGAATCCCATTCATTTATCACCCACACAAGGAATTATTGAGTATCTATTGTATGCCAGGTGGTGAGGATTCAATAGTGAAAAAGAGTTTCTACCTTCAAGGACTACATAATTTAATCAATATTGCTAATTCTGACATTATGCTTGACAGATATGTATACATAATGTATACATACATACATATATACATGTACACATACATATATACATGTACACATATACACACATATATACATGCATACACATATACACCTATATACATGCATACACATGTACACCTATATACATGCATACACATACATGTATACATGCACACACATACATGCATACATGCATACACATACATGCATACATGCATACACATACATGCATACATGCATACACATACATGTATACATGCACACACATACATGCATACATGCATACACACACATGCATACATGCATACACACACATGCATACATGCATACACACATGCATACATGCATACACACATGTATACATGCATACACACATGTATACATGCATACACGCATGTATACATGCATACACGCATGTATACATGCATACACGCATGTATACATGCATACACATACATGTATACATGCATACACATACATGTATACATGCATACACATGCATGTATACATGCATACACATGCATGTATACATGCATACACATGCATGTATACATGCATACACATACATGTATACACGTATACACATACATGTATACATGTATACACATACATATATACACGTATACATATATATAAAAGTATACATATATACATATATATACATCTCAAGTATATATGAGATGGAGTCTCACTCTTTTGCCCAGGCTGGAGTACAATGGTGCGATCTTGGTTCACTGCAACCTCTGCCTCCCAGGTTCAAGTGATTCTCCTGTTGCAGCCTCCTAAGTAGCTGGGATTACAGGCACATTCTACCATGCCTGGCTAATTTTTGTATTTTTAGTAGAGACGCGGTTTCATCATGTTGGCCAAGCTGGTCTCGAACTGCTGACCTCAGGGAGTCTGCCCACCTTGGTCTCCCAAAGTGCTGGGATTACAGGCATGAGCCACCACGCCCAGCCTGCTAGACAGTAATATTATTTTTTGACTGAATTAATAAGTGAAAGACAAAAAAGCTACTTTTTTCAGGATGAGCTCAAAAACTAGTTGAGCAATAAGCAAAATGTCTGTCCTTTGCTTAAAGAAAGCCTCGTGCTCTGAAATGATATTTTACCAAGAAAATAAAGCAGGAGAAGGGAGAGAGTGAGACGGGGAGATGCTACTCTAGGTAGCAGGAGCAGGGAAGGCCACTCTGAGGAGATTACATTTGAGCTCTGAGCCAGGTGAAAGTGTGTCCGGAACTGGTGGGTTCTTGGTCTCACTGACTTCAAGAATGAAGCCGCGGACCCTCGCGGTGACTGTTACAGCTCTTAAGGTGGCGCGTCTGGAGTCAGTCCCTTCTGATGTTCAGATGTGTTCGGAGTTTCTTCCTTCTGGTGGGTTCGTGGTCTTGCTGGCTGAGGAGTGAAGCTGCAGACCTTCGCGGTGAGTGTTACAGCTCATAAAAGCAGCGTGGACCCAAAGGGCGAGCAGTAGCAAGATTTATTGCAAAGAGTGAAAGAACAAAGCTTCCAAAGTGTGGAAGAGGACCCGAGCGGGTTGCCAATGCTGGCTCGGGCAGCCTGCTTTTATTCTCTTATCTGGCCCCACCCACATCCTGCTGATTGGTAGAGCCCTGTGGCCTGTTTTGTCAGGGCACTGATTGGTGCGTTTACAATCCCTGAGCTAGATACAAAGGTTCTCCACATCCCCATCAGATTAGTTAGATACAGAGTTTCCACACACAGGTTCTCCAAGGCCCCACCAGAGCAGCTAGATACAGAGTGTCGATTGGTGCATTCACAAACCTTGAGCTAAACACAGGGTGCTGATTGGTGTATTTACAAACCTTGAGCTAGATACAGAGTGCCGATTGGTGTATTTACAATCCTTGAGCTATACATAAAAGTTCTCCACGTCCTCACCAGAGCAGCTAGATACAGAGTGTCGATTGGTGCACTCACAAACCTTGAGCTAAACACAGGGTGCTGATTGATGTATTTACAAACCTTGAGCTAGATATAGAGTCCCGATTGGTGTATTTACAATCCCTGAGCTAGATATAAAGACTCTCCATGTCCCCACCAGACTCAGGAGCCCAGCTGGCTTCACCTAGTGGATCCCGCACTGGGGCTGCAGGTGGAGCTGCCCGCCAGTCCTGCACCGTGCGCTCACATTCCTCAGCCCTTGGGTGGTCGATGGGACTGGGCGCTGTGGAGCAGGGGGTGGCGCTCGTCGGGGAGGCTCGGGCCGCACAGGAGCCCATGGAGTGGGTGGGAGGCTCAGGCATGGCGGGCTGCAGGTCCCGAGCCCTGCCCCATGGGAAGGCAGCCAAGGCCCGGCGAGAAATCGAGCGCAGCGCCGGTGGGCCGGCACTGCTGGGGGACCCAGTACACCCTCCGCAGCCACTGGCCCGGGTGCTAAGTCCCCCATTGCCCGGGGCCAGCAGGGCTGGCTGGCTGCTCAGAGTGTGGGGCCCACCAAGCCCACGCCCACCCGGAACTCCAGCTGGCCCGCACGCAGCCCCAGTTCCCGCTCGTGCCTCTCCCTCCACACCTCCCTGCAAGCTGAGGGAGTGGGCTCCAGCCTTGGCCAGCCCAGAAAGGGGCTCCCACAGTGCAGTGGGGGACTGAAGGGCTCCTCAAATGCCACCAAAGTGAGAGCCCAGGCAGGGGAGGTGCCGAGAGCAAGCGAGGGCTCTGAGGACTGCCAGCACGCTGTCACCTCTCAAAAGGAACCCAAGGAAAAAAGCATTCCAGATAGAAGGAACAGTGATTGCAAAGCCCTAAGGAAACACACGTACAGAGGTTCCTCCAGCATGAAGGGGCTACATCCCAGTAAACCCATCGTACGTTTTTGAGCTCACCCTGCAAAAGCAGTCCTTTTGTCTTTCACTTATTAATTCAGCCACTAATTCAGTCAAAAAATAATATTACTGTCTTGTATATTGTCAGAATAAAAGTGCATTTAATACACTCAACTTACCAAACACACCCTACCTTAAATGTGCTCAGAACACTTACATTAGCCTACAATTGGGCAAAATCATCTAATGCAAAACCTATTTTATAATAGAATGTTGAGGCCGTGCGTGGTGGCTCACGCCTGTAATCCCGGCACTTAGGGAGGCCGAGGCAGGCGGATCACATGAGGTTGGGAGTTTGAGACCAGCCAGGCCAACATGGAGAAACCCCGTCTCTACTAAAAAAATACAAAATTAGCCAGGTGTGGTGGCACATGCCTGTGATCCCAGCTACTCGGGAGGCTGAGGCAGGAGAATCGCTTGAACCCAGGAGGTGGAGGTTGCAGTGAGCTGAGATCACACCACTGCACTCCAGCCTGGGCAACAAAAAGCGAAACTCCGTTTAAAAAAAAAATAGCATGTTGAATATCTGATGCAATCTATTGAATACTGTAGGGAAAATGAAAAGAGTGGTTGTATGGGTACTCAAAGGACGGTTTCTACTGAATGGGTATTGCTTTTGCACCATGGTAAAGTAAAAATGTTGTAAGTTGCACCATCATAAGTTGGAGACCATCTGTGTATGTATTCTGGCTTCCCTTTAAACGTTGAAACATGGGGCTGGAGTGAGAGTGGATCCTCCTTGCCAAAGCATAGACTGTTTGCTTTCAAGCTTCCTATTAGCAGCATTGAATTTGGCACACGAGTAGTAAGTCCCCCTGTTAAGAGAGCCACACTTGTCTGTTGGATGGGGCTTAGGTAGTGCTGTGCTCCCCTGCAGCCTGCACGCAGTACAGATGCAGGAAGAATGGGAGATGGCTAGCACTATGCCCTTTAATAAGCCACGGCAGAACATCCCCCAACCTCAGCACCTCAGCGCCACAAGGGTGGCCACCAGACCAGCATAGCCACCACAGCAAAGACCTGTAAGGATCCTATTACAGGTTGAGTTGTGTGCCCCAAAAAGCTATGTCAAATTACCTGTGAGTGTGACCTTTTTATGGAAAGACAGTTTTTGCAGATGTGGTTGATACTGTTTGGCTCTGTGTCCCCACCCAAATCTCACCTTGAACTGTAATCCCCACATGTCAAGGGAGGGACCTGGGGGGACGTAATTGAATCATGGGGGTGGTTTCCCCCATGCTGTTCTCGTGATAGTGAGTTCTCATGAGATCTGATGGGTTTTGTTTTTTGTTTTTTTTTTTAGATGGAGTCTCCCTCTATTGCCCAGGCTAGAGTCAATCTTAGCTCACTGCAACCTCTGCCTCCTAGGTTCAAGTGATTCTCCTACCTCAGCCTCCCAAGTAGCTGAGACTACAGGCACGCACTACCATGCCCAGCTAGTTTTTTTGTATTTTTAGTAGAGACAGGTTTCACTGTATTGGCTAGGCTGGTCTCGAACCCCTAACTTCATGATCTGCTCGCCTTGGCCTCCCAAAGTGCTGGGATTACAGGCGTGCTGGGATTACAGGCGTGAGCCACCGTGCCCGGCCGATCTGATGGTTTTATAAGCGTCTGGCATTTCCCCTGCTGGCACTCATTCTCTCTCTCCTGCCGCCCTGTGAAGAGTTGCCTTCTGCCATGATTGTATGTTTCCTGAGGACTCCCCAGCCATGCAGAACTGTGAGTCAATTAAACCTCTTTTCTTTACAAATTACCCAGTCTTGGGCATTTCTTCATAGCAGCGTGAGAACGGACTAATACAATGGTCGAGTTAAGATGAGGTCATCTTTAGTTAAGGTAAGCCCTAACCCAGTGACTGTTGTCCTTATAAAAAGAGAAGACGCAGACACACACACAGGGAGAAAGGCAGGTGGAGACACAGGCAGAGAGTAAAATTATGCTTCTACAAGCCCAGAAAAACCAAGGTCTTCCAGTAACGATCAGAAGCTGGAAGAGAAGAACAGTTCCCCCTCTGAGTCCCCAAGAGGACCCACCCCTACTGACACCCTGATTTCAGAGCTCTGGGCTCCGGAACTGTGAGAGGATAAATCTGTATTGCTGTAAGCCACCCAGTTTGTGGTACTTTGTTATGACAGCCTAGGAGATGAAGACAGACCCTGAAGACTGCGTGTAATCCCGGGCCCCTTGACACTCTGGAAAGGAGATATGAAGGCAGAGAGATTGAGTATTTGCCTCAGAGAGACTGAATTCACCTAAAAGAAACACTTTTTAAATGAGAGACTTAGTTGACTTTAAGTGCAAGCTTCAATCTCCCCTCAACCCAAACCAAGAACATAGAAATGGATGCCTCAGAACAAGATGAGACCCGATATAGAAAATTAAAACAACTCTAGGCTGGGCATGGTGGCTCATGCCTGTAATCCCAGCATTTTGAGAGGTTGAGGTGGGTGATCACCTGAGGTTAGGAGTTCAAGACCAGCCTGGTCAACATGGTGAAACCCCGTCTCTACTAAAAATACAAAAATTAGCTGGGTATGGTGGTGGGTGCCTGTAATCCCAGCTACCTGGGAGGCTGAGGCAGGAGATCACTTGAATCTGGGGGGCAGAGGTTGCAGTGAGCCAAGATCACGCCACTGCACTCCAGCCTGGGCAACAAGAGAGAAACTGTCTCAAAAAAAAAAAAGAAAAAGAAAAAAAAGAAAGAAAAGCGACTCTAACACCTTCATCTTTTTACTCATCTGAATTTAGTCCATAAATATTTTAGCCCTTTACAAATTAATAAAAATAATTTTTTCCCACAAGTACTGGAACACAGAAAGGGATCATTCTGGCTTTTTCTGGTGTCACTTCTGTAAGTTTGGGGCTCCACAGCATGCACTACCTAAATGCCTAATTAAGATCTTTATACCACTTTAAAATCTTACACTTTTAAGTTTTTAAAAGTGTTTACTTTTGAGTTTAAAAATCTTACAAAGAAGTTGATCGCACAGTTACAAGGGTTTACTGATATTCCTCACGTTCCATTTCCAATTCCGTCTCCATTTCCTATTTCAGAGTTAGCATTTTTCTGAGGTTGGTGAGGGCTGTGTTTCAAAACTTTTCATTTGGAGAAGCAATTTCCTTCGTTGCTTCACACCTGTTCTCTTTTCTTCATGCCTGTTCTCTTCACCACTCAATTGCTTGGTAACCTCTGAGTTCCTTCTTCTTCTCCTTCTTCCACTCCTTTCCCTAAAGAGTTTGCATGTCCCGAAGGTTTAATTTTAGTTGCAGAATATGTTCTTGGTCTAGGTGAGGCCTGGAATCCATGTGTTTATTTCGGAGCAGTCAGCTAGGAGTTGTTGCTTGTTGTATCATTTGTCACTGCCTTGCTGTTTAGCTTATTCTTATGCTCTAAATTAAATGTGAGCCCCCTTCCCTTTCAGTCCAGCCAACCCATGGCTGCCAATCTGCAGTTTTTGCCATGTTCTAAAGGGGTTTATGGACTCTTGTAGAAACTGCAGAAATAAAGATAACTTCTTCTCGAGATCCCCTCTGTTAGAAAATTTTATTGTATTTTTCACATCTGGAGAAAAGTCCTCAATTTGTAGGATCAAACCACAAATGGTTTAAAGTAATAATGAATCAAAAGGTATTGTGAATGCACCTGAATATCCCAAACTAAACATCTGAAACTAACGACTGTGATTTCCTATGTATCCCAGGGCAGTGAGAAATATTTTCTCCGCAGCTAGTGAAATTCAAGAACGCTTCTCTCTTTACCCTGCTGTTAAAATTTATACAGCAAAAGAGACAGTGTGAGACAATTAAAAAAATTTCCTGAAAGTTTAATAAGTTGAAACTGTCCTACTGAGTATGTTTTCTGAATGGCTTTCCAAAAGAAGACATTTTTCTTAAAGGAAGCTTGCAGAGACTCTGAAATATTCCATCTCTCTAGCAATGTAACTGGCTGCACCTTGAATTTCTAAATTCTGACAATGACCCATAGGCTAAAGGCACACATACAAAGAATGACTATGTCACACGGATGCCACTCTGGATATAAGAGCAGAATCTCCAGCTCTCCCTACAAAAAGGCAAAACAATGTCTTCAAATTTAGTATACAAAATACATCTCCGAATTGAAAAGTGTGCTTATTTATATTTAAGAAGGGAGGCTTTGCCTATATTGCAACTGTAGCAAGTACTAGTTATGTGTTGCTTAGTGATGGGGATACACTCTGTGAAATGAGTCTTGTTAGGCAACTTTGTTATTGTGGGAACGTCACAGAATGCACTTCCACAAACCTAGATGGCAGAGCCTACCACCCACTTAGGCTATATGGTAAGGTCTATGGTTCCTAGGTTACAAATCTGTAGAGCATGTTATTGTACTCAATACTGTAGGCAATTGTAACGCAATGGTAGTATTTGTGTATCTACAGGTAGTTAAACAGAAAAGGTACAGTAAAAGTAACCATATTATAATCTCATAGGACCACCACTGTACACACAGTCTGTGGTTGACTGAATCGTCCTTACACAGCACATGACTGTATTTCGGAAGAGCTAAGGAGTCCTCATGCTTTTCTCAACCTTCCTCACCAATCACACAGGAAAAAAAAGTAACTGATGTCTTAAGTGCACATTTTATGCAGGGCCCTAGGCTGAGCAATTTACATTCATTAACTTCTTTAATTTTTGTAGCTCCTCTGTGAAATAGGTGCTATTATTATCTTCTTTCTCATTTTACAGAGGAAACAGGCCTGGAGAAGTTAAATACTTTAACCCTTCTGTTACTCTGCTCCTAACTGCTTTATTCTAATGCATTCCTGATTACGCGCTTGAAAGCAGAATATCTAAAGGCTGAATAACAGATGTATTAAAAGGGAGGCCTGTTCTATTTCCAGAAAGTTAAACAAAAGCATAGGACCCCTAATTGCGGTTTCTACAGGTGCTACCTCTCTCTAGCCCAGACAACATGGTAAGTGGATGAGACCTCACCAGGCTCCCAGCGGGTGAACAGGCAGGCCAGCCATCCTCACTCACCCAAAAGCCATCCCTTCTCATGCAATCTCCACATTCTCAAATGCTCCCGTCTCCCATTTCCCTCAAGCCAGCCTCATTTCCAGTCTGAGAGTTCTTGCCATGGTCTCATGGCTGCCCGCCATCTTGCCTTCTTCCCCCCATTTCATCCTCCACCTGGCCCTCAGGGGGATGTTTCTGAAACTGCGTAGGATCCTCTCATTCTGCTTCAGTGACTATCTCTAGTAGAAAGCACAGGCGCCTCGAAATGATGAACAAGTCTCTTTGTGCTCTGACCCACCCTGCTTCTCCCAGCCCCCTGGCTGTGTGTTCCCTCAGACACTCCCTCAGCCAGTGATACGACCACCTTGAACACCCCTAGGCTGAACCAGGCACGCTCCTTTTGGCCTCTCCAGTGTAGTCAGGAGTAATAGGGCCTGCTACAGTTATATGATCACAGGTTTTTCTCCCTGACTAGATGGAAGCTTCTCAAAGAAGGTGCCATATTTTCTTGTCTTGTGTCTTCATCACATAGTGTAGGGCCTGGAACCTGGGCCCCACAGGTCAGGAGTAAATGAGCATGTGTTTTTCCTAGTTACACAACTTTGTGCTTGTTTGAATACTTGTTTTGAATTTTCTGCATACAAACATACACATGCTAACTATAAAGTAATCATTTTGATTCCATATGCATATATTAAGTCACACTTCCTATGTGTGCATACAAGAATTTAGTTGGAATCAGAAATTTTATTAGTATGCTCTATACAAAAGGCCCTGTGCTTGGCACTGTGAGGCACAGAGAAACAGTTATACTACAATACCCTGCAGGATCTCATAGTCAAGAATAAACACTGACCGAGGCAAAATACAGAAGGCTATGATGCACAGTCACATGAAGGACATCCAGAGGAGAGAGCTATGGATCTAGATTGGGGCACAGGATCAAGGGAAGCCTGTGGGTGTCAGTGCCAACTGAACTGATCATTGAACGGGGGCTACAATTTGCAAAGAGAAGGCTGATGGGAGAGGGAGATGGGCCTTTCACAAAACCAAGAAATCAATGAGCATGTGTGGTGTATTAGTCTGTTCTCATGCTGCTAATAAAGACATAACCAAGACTGGGTAATTTATAAAGGAAAGAGGTTTAATGGACTCACAGTTCCACATGGCTGGGGAGGCCTCACAATCATAGGCAAAGGCAAAGGAGGAACAAAATCACATCTTACATGGTGGCAGGCAAGAGAGCTCATGCAGGGGAACTCCCCTTTATAAAACCATCAGATCTCATGAGACTCATTTACTATCACAACAGCACAGGAAAGACCCACCCCCATGATTCAATTACGTCCCACTGGGTCCCTCCCATGACATGTGGGAATTATGGGAGCTACAATTCAAGATGAGATTTGGGTGGGGACACAGTCAAACCATATCATGGGGTAACAGCAAAGTACTAGGGATGGATATTGGATAAAGCTGGAAAGGTCTCCTACAGTATATATCACGCAGGGCCTCACGCTTCAAATCAGTTTACACTTGATTTGTTAAGCACTGGAGCATCTTGGAAGAGGAAGGGTTTTTTTTTTTGTTTTTTTGTTTTTTTAATGGTGACGAAAACAACATAAAATTTTCGATCATGGGACAATTTTAATCAGAGATGAGTGAGATTGAAGCGAAGTGTCAAGCCAGGAGACTTACAGCTGTCTTGAGTGATGGGGTAAGGGTCTGACTGAGGTGATGGCAGAAGGGATGGAAAGGTGAGGACTCAGGAGAGACTTTATAAATGAGCATACTTCTAAAACCTGGTTTTCTCTTTGTCCATGTTTGGCAAATAGAAGGAAATGCTGACAAATGTCAGGAAAATACATCAGGAGAATTAATGTAATATAGGACACTGCTGGTTTAGTAGGCTACAAACTCTGGAGCTTTCTCAAGGGAGCTCTCTTGCTTCAGCCTTCACCTCTTGGATCTGGCTCAAGCAGGAGGTCAGCCAAGAGGCGTCCAGCTCTCAGGAGCAGGAGCCACGGCTTTCCACATCTATTATTCGTTTTGACGACGACACTCTCAGTGGCTGACACTGTCTGTGAGTTCATGGACTGAAGAAGACTTTGTAAGTCAGAGCACACATGGCATTTTTTATATAACACCCTTCTCTTAATTTCCAGTCCTTTATGGTGGATTTTTTTTAAGAGTGAGTTAAAAGGTTGTGTGCTGAGCAAAATGGGAAAAAAAGTGCAGATTGAAGGAAATCAATGCTGTGTCTTTTTTTTATATTTTAAAACCATGTTTTATGGAACATAGAAGCAAATCTTCAGTAATAACTATGTGATGATTTCTTTTTAATTATTTTAAGCTGTGTCTTAAATAGGAAAATTTTTAAAAGTTGTGAATACCAATAAAATGCAAGTGTCATTATAGTCTATGTGTGTGTAACCATATGTGCACAGAATTGTCTTTTCACAATAAAATAAGAATACTAGAAGGTACTTATTTTATTACAGATGAGGAAGCCAGGGCTTAGTTCTGTTAGGATACTTGTCCTGGGGCTTAGAGATGGCAGAACCAGTGCTACCAATACGCAGCGCTGGCTCTCAGACACCTAGGTTCCCAGAGCTACAAAAAATGGATGTTGACTGATGATGGGAATAAAGCACATGATGTGGCTTTCCTTTGTGATACAGACAGACCTTTGCTGGATTCTGCTGTCCTTTAACTGTACAGTCTATTACTTTGTTTTCAAAGTAAAATTTTTCTCACAAAAGGTGATAGATATGACTATGGCTACATCCATGTTGATTCACAGTTCAAGGGAACAAGAGATGGATTCACACGTGTCAGCCGCTGCGTACTGTTGGTGCTCACTTATGGGAACGCCATTCTGACCTAGGTCATATTATACATTTTAGGTTCAGAGAGTCCTTGAATAACTGGGAGCAGACTGGTAAACAGAGATTAACAAGCTTCTTTCCCAGTAAAGGTGATGTACTGGGTGGGATTATATTGAGTAAGTAACAGACATTAAGTGTTTGGAGCTAACCTGGCAAACTATTATAACACAGAATGGAAGACAGAAAAAAACAGGCAGTTGAAATAATTTTATAATTAAATCTGTTAATGCAATTAATACTGATCGACCATAGTGGGGGTCTGGGCAATGAGTGTCCACAAAGAGCAGCTGGGGGCTTACTCCGGAGGCTGAGGCAGGAGAATGGCGTGAACCTGGGAGGCGGAGCTTGTAGTGAGCCGAGATCGCACCACTGCACTCCAGCCTGGGCGACAGAGCAAGACTCCGTCTCAAAAAAAAAAAAAAAAAAAAAAAAAAAAAAAAAGCAGCTGGCGGCTGATGCATGAAGTGGATTTCCTTTATTTGGATTCTGTAAGTCAGGAATCACTATGATTAACCCTAAGGATAATAATAGCAACATCTGCTAAATTTCTGCCTTCCAGTGAGTACCTGGATGCAGGATGCTTTCCACACATCTCATGTAAAGCCAAGCTTTCCATTGTTTAATCAATTTTGAGAGTTTTGGGTTTGGATTGCTTTTGTCATTGACACTCAGGCCTCCAAATCAGTGTGTGGCTGGGATCTCCATGTTGGCCAGAGCCAGAGTCCCGCCACGAGCCCAGGGTGGGGTGTGTGCTAGGGTCTGTCCCCAGGCATGCTCAGGAAGGTAAGTTCTTGCTAGCCAGGTGGGCTGGCCATTCTAGGGGCTTGAGGTGGGGGTGGAAAGAAAGAAACATAAAAAGAAAGTTGGGTTATTTTCAGAATGTATTCATTTCTGACTTTGGAAAAGTGGTTAAAAAAAAAAAAAGAAAGCCTTTTAGGGAAGTTGTCCCAGGGAAGGGAGATGTCTTAAGAAACAGAGAGGAAGTGCTTCCTCCCGGTCGCCCCCTCACCCTCTCAGGACCAAGACCCCTCTTCTTTTGAGCTCCTGAGGACAGGTCCTGGGGAGACAGGAGATGGGTGTGGAGGGAGGAGGCAGGCAGTCCCTGAAGTCCGAGTGGGTCTCCGCTGTCACACCTATGTGCTGGATTGGAACAGCAGCCTAAGGGCTCCCCAAAATGATTTCTGGGCCATTTCAGAAATGTGTCCAAATCCCAATGGAATTAGAAATTTGGTCATTTCAACAACTTTTCTAAGGAAACAGTTCAAAGAATATTGCCTTGATTATCAGGAGGAACCAGAAAAATGTGACAGAAAAGAAATACTTGGAACTAAGATATGCTACAAAATATTTAATGCTAGTATTTGCACAACAGGCTTAACACCAGACTTGTTTTCTGGTTTACAAAAAAAAAAAAAAAAAAAAAAAAAAATTAATCGTTTCGTATTTCTCAGCACCTGCTAAGACTTGCTACCAAAGCTTTGGGTTTATCGAGTTTTTAAATTGTACAGGCAGTTATGTGCTGTAACACCTTGCTGTTCTGAGGTGTGCATTTCTTTTATCTCAAAATAGCACAAAGTTAGGGTTAAAAGTTAATTTCCTGGCCAGACTTTAGTCCCAGTATAGGAAACGTTCGATGATAATAGCTCTGTTCCATTCTGAGTGTACTCAAATGAGAATCCTCGGTAATAAAACCAGAAGCAGACACCAAAAACTTATTAATGGAATATAAAATTGGAATTTTTGGTTTACTTTTGACTTTTTGAATCAACTTCATTGAGGTATAATTTGTACCCCAAAAATGTACTTATTTTAAATGCCTAGTTTGATGAGTTTTGCCAAATACATGTATCTGTATCATAGCCATCTCAACTAAGATGTAGAACATTTAAATTGGAAGTTTGCACACATTTCCTTTTTGTTTCCTGATACTTGTGTGTGCGTGTGTGTGTGTGTGAAAACTCACTCCTGAAAATGAAAATACTTAAAAGAAACTTTCACCCTACCAAAAGGCTCTTGATAATAATTCTGAGATTTTTAGTATTACTGTCACTTGTATAAGAAAATGTGTAGACCAAGATAGCATTGTGCTTAAAATCCAATCAGACAATGATAATATGTAGAGGAGGTTTTGCCACAGTAAAGCTTGCTTTGTTTTTTTAAGATCCCTGCAGAGACAAAAGGGAGTGTTTTATGGACAACGAGGCAGCATGCTGCCCTCGAGTTCCAGGTTTTGGGGGGAATGAATCATTCCAGAATCCATACTTTTGCATAATCCAGTATGAACCCATGCCGATGTGGAAGTGCATCTGCAGTATCCAGTAAAATCCTCACTGCTTCCTCCTCTTTTGTTTCCTTCTATCTCCCATCCACAGCATTCTGAGGGGGAACACTTCAGTGGGCATTCTCAGAGGAACCACAAATTACCTTAAGGTTGTGAAAATGGTCCCCAAACAATTGCCGGGGCCCCGCCTGTTGACCTTGGAGCAGGCTGCCGGGGCTCCAGGACCCAGGGCTGTCTCTAGGATCTTGAGCAACACTGGCATTCACAGTGCATACTACTGTCTTGAAACTTCAAAACATTTCAGCAAACGTGAGTTATAATCTCTCAAAATCACTTTACCATCGTCATCTGGCCAGTCCTGTTTGGAAGACAAGGTAACTGATGGAATCACTTGAGGTACAGGCCAGGGGACTTTGGGGAAAGGTAAAGAAGGGAACTTGTTCTAAGGGAGGTGCTGGCAAAGGAGGCCAAAAGGTAAATGTGTGATTCAGGAGAAAGCATCCCATCAAGGATACCCCCTCACGGTGCATGGTGAGAGTGGCGGCTTCCAGTCCTGGCTTCCTGCCTTGATTCTGCAACTGTCCAAAGTTGAACTTGGGCAAGCCACAGCCCCCCATACTCCTACCATCAGTTTCTCCACCTGCAGCACAAGGGTTGAATCCATGAGCTCAGAGGGCCTCCAGCTCTAACCTCCTGGGAGACTGAGCCTGCCCCTGCCCAGGGCTCTAGCTTGACAGGCACTTTCATGTGCTTTCTATATTCCTAAGTTAAGGGTCCCCACAAATATAACCAGGTCCAATTTGGCGGCACATTCACATTGGCTGGTTTCACGTCTATCTTTTATAGGATACAATTCCTTAAACCTGCTCATCCAGTAAGTTGTCCACGCAAAGGCTGTCCCTGTATTTTAGAAAGAGGTGCATGAACATTCAGTCTTTACTCATTGTCTCTTTAAACAGTTAATACTCTAAAGCTACAATTATATGATGTCTCAGTGTCTGAGTCCACCTTGCCTTGCTCCTTAAGATCACAGCTTCCTAAATGATCTTCCATTTCCACTTTTGCCCTTCTGTCATCCATCCTCCACTCATCCATCCTCCACTCAGCAGCCAGAGTGTTCTTGTAAAAACATAAATCAGACCATGTCACTTCACTACTTAAAACCCTTCAGCGGCATCCAGCTGCTCTTGGAATAAAACGCAATATCCTATCATGATCTACATGGTCCCGAATGACCTGCCTACCACACACTTATCTGATTCCATCTCCTTTGGAGAAGATACGCACAAATTCTGGATATTATGCCTCTACATAGGGAAGAGGCCGTCTCTTCCCCTCTCCCCTTCTGAATGGCCGGGAAGTAGGTGTGATGGCAGGAGTGGAGAAGCCTTCTTGGACCATGAGGTAGGGGTCACATATTGAGAATGCCAGATTGTAGCACAGCAGAGTCTGGGTCCCAAAATATTGCAGAGCTATCTCATCAGTCCTGAACTGTCCACCCATGCTATTAAGTGACAGAAAAATAAATATCCATCTTGCTTAAACCCCTGTGAGTCTCGGTTTCTATTTTTTTTTTTTTTTTGTGAGACAGAGTCTCACTCTGTTGCCCAGGCTGGAGTGCAGAGGCGTGATCTCGGCTCACTGCAACCTCCGGCTCCTGGGTTCAAGTGATTCTCCTGCCATAGCCTCCTGAGTAGGTGGGATTGCAGGCACACACCACCACGCCCAGCTAATTTTTGTATTTTTAGTAGAGATGGGGTTTCACCATGTTGGTCAGGCTGGTCTTGAACTCCTGACCTCGTGATCTGCCCACCTCGGCCTCCCAAAGTACTGGGATTACAGGGATGAGCCACTGTGCCTGGCCTGGGTTTCTCTATTATAGCAGCCAACAGGGTACTAAACAATGCACCACACTTTCCTTAGGGCTCTGTCCTCGCTGTTCCCACTCCCTGGGATGCATTTCCCCAGCTCCTCTCATAGCTGCTTTGTTATACTTCCAGCCTCCTGCTTAAGTGCCGTGTCCTTGAGGAGGCCTTACCTGACCAACTTAACCAAGTTGGTCATATCTCTCCACTGAACTCTAGCAGTGGCCTCCCCACTAGCCTCCCTACCTCCACTCATGGTCTTCCCACCATCCATCATCCACAGAGGCCAAAACCTTGATACGTGATAAGTTGCCTTATCAGGCCTTACCTGACCAACTTATCACGTATTAAACTGTGATAATCTTGTTTGCCCATTTGTCATGCTTGTTTTGCCCACGAATAAGAAGCCCCCTGAAGGCAGCAGCCTGACCTCTCTCGCTCGCTTGTATCTCTCCAGCACCTGGAACAGTGCCTGGTGTGCACTGGAGGGCCCAGTAAGTATTTATGAAATGAATGAACAAGTGTAGGCACAATCAGCAGGATCCCCATTTCAAGTTCTTTTTTTGGTTCTTGGATCTGGGACAAAAGGGCTGGGGACACCTCACAGTTCAGAGGACTCTTCTGAGATGACTTAGCAAATCATCTGGAGAATACAGATCTCAATCCACAGCATTTGCTGCTCACAGAGGGATTTGAAAGAACAGCTTGTCTACCAAGGCCGATTTAATGAAACCACGAAATATATGACTGCAACAAGAACGCTTACAAGAAATAAACTCGATCTGTTGCCTGGTATCCCTCTAATAACTAATGATATAACTACGAAAGGTTGGTTCTGAACATAAAACAACCTCGGAAAGGAATTCAACTGAAGTGCACTTTGTGGTTACAAACACCTAGTGTCAGAGACAGTATTATCGACCCCATTGAAAATAATGACTTATTGCAAGTAACCACAAATCAGCTGACTAGTTGAATGGATATTACACATTGTTTACTACGCATGACCTCAAAAAATCATTAGATCCATACTAGGAGGATTAAGAGGACTTACTACTCATGAATCCCTT
This sequence comes from Homo sapiens, assembly GCF_000001405.40. Lineage (NCBI taxonomy): Eukaryota > Metazoa > Chordata > Mammalia > Primates > Hominidae > Homo > Homo sapiens. Next base: position 135,518 of record NT_187564.1, on the reverse strand, counting down.
CTTTCTGCAAACCTCATATCCTCATGCAAGAATGAGAAGAGCTGTCATTTGGGAATTAGAGAACCAGCCTGGAGTCCTTGCCTGCCCTGTATTTGCGGCTGTAGACAGAAATTCCTTAATCCCTTTGAGTGTCAGTTTCAACCATAAATTGGGAATTTGAGCCTCTCTCTTCCACATTCCCCACACCGAATACATCCGCAGATAGTCTTAGCTGTGCCTCCCAAATACATCTTCAATCTGCCCATTTTTGTACCTTCAATTATGTTCTCATTAAAGCCACCATATCTCTCCACTAAACTCCAGCAGTGGCCTCCCTGCTAGCCTCCCTGCCTCCACTCATGGTCTCCCCACCATCCATCATCCACAGAGGCCAAAATGATACATCAAAGCCCTCCACTGACCTCCCATCAACTCATAATAAACTTCAAACCCCTTGCCCTTGGCCTGTGAGGCCCTCTCGCTAAATTGGCCACTGCCTCCTCTATGACCTCAGCTTCTACTTTTCTCCTCCCCATTCATTCTATTTATCAAGGTTTCCTTCTGTTCAGGTAAATGCCGGCCTTGTCTGACCTCAGGGTCTTTGGTCCTGCTATACCAAACTTGTTCAACCCATGGCCTGCAGGCTTTATGCGGTCCAGGATGGCTTTGTAAACAAAAATTTGTAAACTTTCTTAAAACATCATGAGATTTTGGCCTGGCGCGGTGGCTCACGCCTGTAATCCCAGCACTTTGGGAGGCTGAGACGGGCGGATCACGAGGTCAGGAGATCGAGACCATCCTGTCTAACGCAGTGAAACCCCATCTCTACTAAAAATACAAAAAATTAGCCGGGCATGGTGACGGGTGCCTGTAGTCCCAGCTACTCGGGAGACTGAGGCAGGAGAATGGCGTGAACCTGGGAGGCAAAGCTTGCAGTGAGCCGAGATAGCGCCACTGCACTCCAGCCCGGGCGACAGAGTGAGACTCTGTCTCAAAAAAAAAAAAGAGAGATTTTTTTTGCAATTTTTAAAGCTCATTAGCTACCGTTAGTGTTAGTGTGTTTTACGTGTGGCCCAAAACAATTCTTCTTCCAATGTGGCCCAGGAAAGCCGAAAGGTTGGACACTCCTATTATACCTTTAACTGGAACCCCCTGTCTTTAGATCTGGTTCCTTCAAATCCACTCTAGAGATCTCACTTCCTCCCTTGATCACTCTCTATCATACTACCATTTTTTTCATCGTATTTAACAATGACTTAAATTATTGATGTATTTGTTTGTTCTTGTTTGCTGTTTTATTTATTTATTTTTTTCTCACCAGCAAGTCAGCTCCATAAAAGCAGGGGCTTCGAATCTTTCTTCCCTGGCCTATCTATCCCCAGCACCCAGCACAATGCTGGATGAATTAAGATTAAAAATAATATCTATTTCCAGGGGCTGGTGTGAGGCTTGAATGTAAAAAATGCTTTGTGGAGGGGTCATACAATTGTTGGATTTTATCAATCATTTTATGTGTCTGTAATTAGAAAAGATTATATTGCTGTTTACTAATATAGGTCAGAAGAAATGAAAAGTCTCGCATCCGATTAGGTAGTGAATCTGCCCAAAATCTGTGTGATTGAAGCTGTTCATACATACTGAGATGAAATCACTCGCTGTCTTGTAAGCATCTATTATCTACTCTGCTTCAGGGGGTGTGGCTGGGGTATGAAAGACAGATGCCTGGTCTCTTTGCCTTGACGGTGCTTACAAACAAATGAATGACGTGTGCCTGAGCCGCTTTGGCCTTGGGATCTCTAGAGCATTCATCACCTATGATATTCTTCAAGAGCTGGCTGTGCCCACGCTGTCACCTCGTCCTCCGTGAGGGCCTGGCCTCTCTCATAGGGCGATGAGCTCCATAAACACAAACTATATTTTCCATATTTATGTTAAGTTGCCCAAGGTAGACTGGAAGGCACCCAGCAGGGATGTGGAATTAAACTGAATGATGGGTTATTGGGCAATATATATTTTTAAATATGTCCTTGCAAAAATATCCACTAATAATGCAGGAAACTATCTTACTTTGTATTGGAAGAAAATGTACGATTTGCTTATAATGTGGTCCCCTCCAACACAAAGATAAGGCTTTATGGATTTACTCTTGACTGCTTTCTAAAAGCACGTCCAGGTTGTCTGGAACCCATCACACCCTCTGATGGGGCCCACTCAGACCCAGTGGCTTGAATCAATGAGACGGATGGGTGGCCGGGAGCAGAGCTCTCTTTGTCTGATCCCTCTGACCAGAGAAACAGTGTTAGACTTCAAGAGCTTAGGGAAGAGGGGGAAGAACTACTAGCTGGAAAAACAAACAAACTTTCAGATAAAACTAGCCAAAGAGTCTTGCAAGAAAACGTAAGAGAGAGATTTCTGAAGTTCACCCAGACACAGACGCACTGAGTAAGGTAGAAAAAAAAAGAAAGTTGGGGATGAGTTTGAATTGACGAGAACTACAGGATGTTTGCAGCAAGCAGCTTAGAGCTGTAAAGATTTAATGCAACTCCAGCTGTAAAGATTTAATGCCTGGCTTGTTCCAGGGGGATTCTGGCTGGGTATCTTTGTATCCATCGCCCACCACCAACAAGCAGACATGTTTGTTTCCAGTGCTTTCTGCTTTCTCCTGCTTTTCTCTATGTTGGTCTCTGAGCTTCTCTCATTTCTCCCCCGATTCACTACATAGAATGGCTCTTATTTCTGATATGTGTTTTGTAATGTTTTCAGGACACTAAAATTATTTAACTCTATATTCACTGTAATACCCTAGATAATATAATTTTGGCTCTGAAAGGCCTAATTTATTATCTTGGTGTGACTTTGACAGCCAAACAATCAAATAACTGGTCACATGAGTAAAAAAAAGGTCAAAGAGATGTTGGTTTAGGTGACACCGATGGGGGGCATATATGGTAGGAATACCGTGTGTTTACTGTTCTGGGGTTTCATTCTTGTTGTATGGTCTTGGGTGCTTCCATCTGCTTTCCAAGTAACTCGGGTTAGCTTATTTGTAATTGTGCCCTCATCACTCATTTAATTATCCCTGAAAGCATTACTGGGCAGTTTATTACCATTCTGCCTTAGATAGTTGGTTTTTTGTTTTCTCTTTTTTTTTTTTTTGAGACGGAGTCTCACTCTGTCACCCAGGCTGAAGTGTAGTGGTGCAATCTCAGCTCACTGTAATCTCCACTTCCCGGGTTCAGGCGATTCTCCTGCCTCAGCCTCCCAAGTAGCTGGGATTACAGGCACCCACCACCATGCCTGGCTAATTTTTGTATTTTTAGTAGAGACGGGGTTTCACCATGTTGGCCAGGCTGGTCTCAAACTCCTGACCTCAGGTGATCCTCCAGCCTCGGCCTCCCAAAGTGCTGGGATTACAGGCGTGAGCCACTGCGCCTGGCCAGGTAGTTAATTTTCTCTCTTTGCTGTCTTTGGGAGGGAAACTGAGTGAAGCACTATTGGGTTTGCTGTTGTTTCTGTGAAACCCGAAACCTGTAAGTTAAAGGTAACCATCTAGTATTATTGCATCTTTCTAAGTATTAGGTTGGTGCAAAAGTAATTGTGGTTTTAACCATTAATTTTTTTTTTTTTTTTTTTTTTTTTAAAGATGGAGTTTCACTCTTGTTGCCCAGGCTGGAGTGCAATGGCTCGGTCTTGGCTAACTGCAACCTCCGCCTCCCAGGTTCAAGCAATTCTCCTGCCTCAGCCTCCCAGGTAGCTGGGATTATAGGTGCCTGCCACCACACCTGGCTAATTTTTGTATTTTTAGTAGAGATGGGGTTTCACCATGTTGGCCGGGCTGGTCTCGAACTCCTGACCTCAGGTGATCCGCCTGCCTTGGCCTCCCAAAGTGCTGGGATTAAAGGCATGAGCCACCGCACCCGGCCTAAGCATTACTTTCAATGGCAAAAATCGCAATCATTACTGCACCAACTTAATAGAAAATTGTTCCCTGGAAACAATACTTTTTTCCTAAAAAATGTACTTTTAATCACAAATGTGTTACGGGTAATCATAATTTTCTTATATTTCACATTTAAAAAAGAAACTAAATCTAATTTTCACGTATTCTGAAAATGTTAAAATGCTAAATAAGTGTAGAAAACAGAAAGCGGGAATATCTTATAAAAACATATCCAAGTTGCATTTTTAAATTGTTCTTCCCATTTTTTGAAGTAAGATGCGCTTGCCTGATACTCAGAGTTCAGGTTCTGCTCTGGACCTCAGGGACCCCAGGATCAGAGCACGACTGTAAAAGGATGAAGGGGTCTCCATCTATAAATTCACAACGCAGAGGGTGACACTGGCGCTCAGGGGGTGTGCCAAGTGCCAAGTCTATCAAACTCCAACCTGCAGAAAGGGCTGGTTGATAGGGAAAGGGGAACATTGAAGAGGGATGGGAGGGAATTACTTAATGGGCAAAAACAACAGAGATTCCAAAGCCCAGCAAATTTCAAAGCACTTTCATATAGGAGTTGCTAAGCCTGCTAAGTACTATTTACATCAAATGTCACACCAAGAAAAAAAAATCAGTCAGAACAAATAAAAATACGGAAGTTTAGAACAGATAAGAATGTTAGACTTGGAAAGACAAAGAACAAAGACAATTGAAGATCCAACCCAAAGCCAGGATCCCTCTTAAGAGCTGGCCTCTGCCCCACAGTTGTCCAGTTTCTCTTTAAATATCTAGTGACGGCCGGGCACGGTGGCTCACGCCTGTAATCCCAGCACTTTGGGAGGCCGAGATGGGCGAATCACGAGGTCAGGGGTTCGAGACCAGCCTGGCCAACATAGCGAAACCCCATCTCTTCTAAAATAGTAGAGTAAAATAGTAAAAATACAAAAAATGAGTCGGGCATGGTGGCGGGTGCCTGTAGTCCCAGCTACTCAGGAGGCTGAGGCAGGAGAATTGCTTGAACCTGGGAGGCAGAGGTTGCAGTGAGCTGAGATTGCGTCACTGTACTCCAGCCTGGGTGACAGAGCAAGGCTCTGTCTCAAAAAATAAACAAACAAACAAACAAACAAATAAAAATAGAATCTAGTGACAGCGCTCAGTATTCGTCCAGATGCTGTGGGTTATAGGCTTCTGGCCCTGGGCTCCCATCATTCTCCGTACCTTGAATGAAAGTCTGCCCCCCAGGACCCAGAGGTTCTAACTTAGCACTCAGCACACACATGCCCGTCTCCTCCATGTGAACCCCGCAGAGAGTTAAAGATGGGTCCCCACCTCCCTAAGTCCCCTCTCCTTCAGGCTAAACGTCCCAATTCCTGCTGCTGTTCTGAGTGACCCTCCACTGGCCACACTCGGGCTTGGTAATGTCCACCTCACCATGTGGCCCTCCTAACTGATAACATTCGAAGAATTTCCAGCCATGGCTCCACCACTCGGGGACTGTGTTGCAGCCCTAGAGTCGCCCAGCTCATGGCTAAATCGCGGCATGGACTGTGCTGCCCTCTTAGGTCTCCTTTATTTTGAATTTGTGTAATTGATTTTTTGAACCTAAATGCATGAGCTTATATTTAACCTTGATACTTTCATTTTATTGGTTTTGGCTTAGATTTATACGCACTTAAAAAATGATAACTTGCATTTAATTATAATTCTTCAATTATCAAAGTGCTTTCACATATGCTGCTGATGTACATTTTGATCCCCTTATTTACCATGCCAGCTCTGCCTCCTCACTTTCTATCATCTGCAAATTAGATTAGCAGGAATGACAACAATTGTCACTGATAGACATATTGAATGGACGGCAAGGAACAAAAGACCCAGCCCTGTGAAATGCCTCCCTAGATTCATACCACATTCCAAGCAAGGGGGCAGAGAGCAGGCAACTACAGGACTGCTTGTGTGAATAAGATCATTGCAGAGAATAAAATGTGCAAAGATGAAAAATAAAACAGCATGAGGGAATAGGAAATGATGGGGCAAGGTGCTTTTATAGAGGAGGTGATTGGAGAAGGACTCTGAGCAGGGACTGGAGTGAATGGGGGAGCACACAGTGTACCCCAGAGACCCGGACACACATGAATTCATCAATCGATTGACTTCCTGCAGTTCCAAAGATAATTTCAGGCAATCAATTTTTGACTCGGTTTTGCTCTCCATATTATCAACTAAGTCAGAATTTGCTTCTGAGCCACAAACACTGAACACCTAATACAATGCTTGACACTGAATAAACACCTAAATAAATATCTGTGGAGTAAGTGAAAAAATCTGCTAGGAGAGACTGAGTCAAAGGCTCTGCTAAAATCAAGAAATGCTGTGTGAAGACCATCTGACAAAGTTTCATAAGGTTTGCCCCGGACAACGCTCTCACCCAAGGCACTCCTAGGGGTATCATTAGATTGTGATCAATTGGCTGTAGCCCAGTCATGGGAGCCCTCAGGCTACATGCAGTTGCTGGCATATAAACTACAATTCCAGGCTGATCAGAGGCAACACTGAATTACGAATCTCTAACCTCAAGTGGTCCCCATTTCACCAGTTTCAGAACCTATATATAAAAGAGATATATGGTTCACATGGGATGGCTTGATTCCGGGGAACTCATGTTGGATTATGCAAATCACACGATTCTCCTCTAAATTCTCACATATCACCTATTTAGTAATCTAGTCCAGAATTTTGTCAATCATCCTTTTGCCAGTCTACGCTTTTCTTGGAAACTACTTTTTTAAATGAGTATTTTTGAAAGTTGACATTTTCTTGTCTCTGTTTTTCAGCACCTCTCCAGATTGACAAAGTCTCCTGACAATTACTGATCAGTCACATCTACAAATGTTTGTAGCATTCTGAGGTGTGACTTATCTACATCTTGGGAAATACATTTCTGCAATTAATTAATTACTGATTAATGGAGCAACTACAGAAAATATTCAAATCGAAGAAAGGAAGGTGGACAAGGGAAAGGATGGAAAGATGAGTATGACCCAGTCCTGTACTGAAGATGAACAGACTGGACGTCGAAACATAAATAAAATACATTGACAAATGCTGAGACGACCTAGTCTGAGAAGCACTGTACTGTGGGCTGGTATCAAGGCTTAGTGGGCACCGGGACGGGAGCCACTTTTGCCTGGGAAAATAAGGTCACTGAGCATTGGAGGACAAATAGAGTTTGTGATGTGTTGTGGGACATGTCACAGATGCCTCATGGCTATAAGATAAAAGTGCTCTGCTGGGGAGACTGGCTGAGGTAGTGGTTACGAAATTGGGAACAGAGAGTGGAGGGCCAAGCTAAACAGCGGGGACCTCAGACACTTCATTGGATAAACCCAGCGGTTAAGTCCCTACAGGTTCTCAAGCAGGGAGTGCTGTGGCCCACAATGGAACTTTCCCTTTGTGGAGTATTAATTGAAGATGAGAGTGTGTGGGGCTGGAGCCTGGAGGCTCTCTGCTTCTCACCTTTTCCAGATAAAGTTTTCTTCTGCACTTTGAAAACCCTTTCTTGTTGGAAGGCAACTTCCCATTGTAAAGAAACTCTGGCTGGTGTCCTCTAAGCACATTTACTTTGGAGAGGTGTAGGATTAGCATTTTCACTGAAATAGTTTTTGTTTCTAAAAGGGCTTACTTTAAGTGGTTAAAACCTCCTTTTTCCCTCAAGCCATTGCACAATATCGATCACAGTATTTGTTCATTTAGCAGATCTTTTCTTCCTGTGGCCACAATGAAGGTCAGTGTTGAGCTTTAATGCAGTCCCTGTCCAAATGATGATCAATTTCAAAGGAATAAGAAATAAAAATTGAGCTAGCAGTATTAAAAAATGAATTTTGACTATGATTATTCGTAAAAGCAGTGCAATCATGGGAGGCCTTGTGCATGTATGCACAGATATACCAAGATTTTAGAATGAAAAGTGGATGACAATGGAGGCTGTTCCCAAAACCCTCTGAAGTTTACACAGCCATGCCTTAACAAGAAGTACAGAAAGAACACTTACAGGATACATTAGAATGAGAAAATACTAAATATTAAGGCATTTTTTTTTAAAGTTGAGAAGTGTTGGCTTTCATGCTAGCCTCTCACTTTCAAATCAATACCTTGGACTATACAGAAATAAATTCGAGGCCAGTTTTCAGGAATACAGATTTTAAAATGATGAAAGTGGCAGAATGGTCATCATTTCTGACTCTTTATTGAGGACAAAAATTTCACATTTGTATTATCCTGTTGGAAGCCTGGTGGCGAGTCTGTTTTGAAGACATGATAAACCACCGCAGCAGAGAGTAGAAGGGCCACTGGGAAGGCCTCTCCATGGGAGACCCTTCTCAACACGTAAATAGCTCTGGGCTTGGTTGATTCTGACAAGAAGAAATTAAAGACATAAAACACTCTTCTCTTTCAGATGCGTTGGCTAAGCCTCTGCTCCATCAATTCCCTACTCTCCTCTCAGCTCCACAGGGCACAACACAAACCTCGGGAAGAGATTCCCTTTTCTGGGGGTCACTAGTCACTCTCCTTTGCCTTCTTTCCATGCATCTCACCTTCTCACTAAATTAGAGACTGGGTCAAATGTGGAGTATGGTTTCTGGGAAGTCATTGCTTATTGGCAGTGTATGAAGGTTTAACATAATTTCAATGCATTTTGCCTAAAGTGTTATAGACCCTTTCACTAGTGAGAGAACATCAAAGCCACGCTAATTTATTTAAAATTTGTCTTGAGCTCAGACATCCGGGAATGTGAAAGTTAGAACATTTCTATACTACTAAGGTAGTATAGAAAGACCATGAGCTTAGGGGTCAGACCAACCTGGCTTCTGCTCCCCACCTTAGAAGGTGAGTGACATTGGGCTAGTAACTTCACCTTTCTGAAGCCTCCGTTTTCTGATCTGTAAAATGGGGATAATGTTAGGTAACGCCTAAAAATTGATGGGGACAATATCAATACTTAATAGTTAATTATTATAGTTAATAGTAAGCAATAGACTTTTGAGTAATGGTTGCTATTATTGGTTCTATTACCAACTTTCAGCAGCCTTGGGATTTAAATAACAGCCAGCAACTACACAGAAAACAGTCTTTTAACACACTATTACGGATTAGAACTAGGTAGTATAGCTCAGCTACTGATTAAAAAAAAAATTAAAAAAAAAAGAAATCCTCTGAATCGATTAAATGCAGTGAACTTCCAAAGTGCACATTTCAAATGAATAAGTGTGGGCTGGCAAGAGGCACAGTACCATTACAGTAGAAGCGGAAAGAACGTGAGGAATGAGGCTTTCCCAAGTTAGACCTGTGGTAGTTCAGGTCTTGACGGGCCACCTTGGTGTTTCTTCACAATCAGCGCTAAGTGCATAGCATATGTGCATGGAATTCCTGGATCAGCAGTCGCTGTGGGTCAGAATCCAGATCTTGGCCTTGCAGACCCGTTCAGAAGAAACAAAGGCTGTCTAGACCTCCCGTTTGTGAAATAAACTTGACTTGCACTAGAAGAGCTCCAAGGGTCCTTGTAACATTACAAATAATTTCATAATTCTCTGTTTCTGGAAAAAGTAAAGACGGGCCTGGAGAGGCGGTAATTACACTTTCTGTTCTCTCTTAGTCTCTCTCATCCCATTAAACACAGCCTAGATCAGGTGGAGACGCCTCTCAATAAATACTATGAAAGAATCCACGCTTTCCTAATTGTTTGGCTTCTTAATCAAAAGAAGAGCTTCCTTTCAATTGTTAATGATGCAAATCAATAGGGTATGTGGAAGAAATGACACCTATTCAGAAAGCTGTGAACGTCTGAAGTGCTAATGGTGATGATTAGGTATTATGCAAAGAAAAAGCGAGAATCAATTCTATTCTCCACACACTGCCAGTGGGACTCAGTCCCTACGGGGAGAGGAGCAAGTCCAGAACTGTCTGCCAAATATGAGGGTGAAATATTAAAGCCACCTTCATGGATAACCAAACACTATGCTGAGTTTCAAAAGGGGAAAACCAAACAAGCAATTTGATGCTATTTTTACTCCTTAGGGACAAAGGCAAACTGAACAGGACCGACTTTAAATGTAACGTAATGATTCAAGGAACCTATATGCTTTATCTTCCCTCGGGATGTTAATTATTCTGTTTAAGGGCTAATTTGTTTTGCAGGAGTGTGAAAGCACGCTCCGTTTTGGTGATACTTTTCAGATACTTTTGGGGTGTGTCTACTTACAGAAAGCATTACCTACTAGTATTGTTACTGATTAGTATCTATAATGTTATAACAACTACTAATTTGTTCTAAATTAAAAAGGAAGTCCCCTTCTTTAAACAAGTCTCAAAAATTTTATAGCATGCCAGAATATTAAGATGCTCCTGAAAAGTGTGGGATTTAACTGTTAACATTTAACAGTTCACACCATGTAAATCTCAGCTTTGCCTACACACACACACACACACACACACACACACACACACTGCACGAAGGAGCACTCTCAGATTCTCCTCGTTTTCCTTTACTTGCTCCCCGTGCAGTGACCCTGTGGAGTAGACTTGGTAGTGCTTCGAATGCAAACCCAAACGCTGTGATTTACTCCCCAAAGAACCCCCGACCTTGCAGAGAGAAGATCAAGAATCGGAAATTTTTTGACCAAAAGCGCTGCTTGCAGAGGTGTTAAAATCCAGTTACAGTGCCCCGCTCATCACCCGGACGCTCTCTCCGCCGCCTCCCGCGCTCCCCGGGCTGGAGCAGCGCACCCTTGCAACACTTGCACCGGGAGGCAGCTCCATGTGGGAGCCAGCCCGCGCGCAATACTTGCCTCTTCCCGCCAGCCCCGGTTCAGGTGTGCCCCTCGCTTTGTGATGCAGGTGGCTTTCCCACTGGCCGGGTCAGACTTCAGAACCCCCGAGGACCGTCCTTTGTCGGCCGGCAGCCCGAGTCCCGGCGGGCAGCTTTGAGTCCACCGCTCTCGGGATCAAACCCCGCACCACTGAAAGGCAGGTGAGGGGAGGACGCAAAACCCGGGGTGGAGCGCTAGGCTGCGGCGGCGGATCTGACTGTACTGGGAGAGCCACACAAAAGTATCCAAGGAAAAGCCAATATCTGGACTGGAGTTTTAAAAAACGTAATTGTACTTGCATCCTCCCACCCGTGGGCAATACACACAGCACAAGAGTGGGTCTTTTTTTTTTTTTCGATGTTTGGGCTTTGAGCCTCCTGGTGTATCTGCGTTAAGCACCTTTGATACTGTTGACCTACAAGGAGGGCTCTGAGAGCCCGGACTGCGGGGAAGAAAGTTTTTTTACACTTCGTGTCTTACTTACACTACGCTTGTTGTGGATGGCATTAATAACGGGATTAGCATGGAAAGGGTTACTGTGCTTGATGCTATTGGCAGAGAGAGAGACACAGAGACTGGGTCAATAGGGATTATTTCTGAATGGAACATCTGATACTCTGGGATCTGGGAAAAAATATAATGTTTTCTGATTTTCCTGTCGGGGTTCTACTGCTGTGTGGCCTCCTTCACTCTCAGAGCACAGGTTACGTCCTGTGTAATACTCAGTTTCTGATGGTGGTTTTTTCTTCTTCCACCTCCCCTTTCTCTTCCCCTTCTCCTCCTTCTCCGTCTTCTTCTCTCACTCCCTCCTCTGCTCTTTTTTGAGAAGCCTTAAATCCCACACTTTTCAGGAGCATCTTAATATTCTGGCATGCTACAAAATCAAGTATTTTTCTTTTTATCTTTATGTTGCTTCTCAAAGAAAGGGAAGACAGTAGTGATAGGAAAGAGCAGAAAATGCTTATTGAGGTCCAGGCAGTAGCAGCTGAAGCCTTTAGCAAAATAAACCTTGCTCTGCCTCCTGGTTCATCAGCAGTAACTCACCCCCCCCTCACCCCCCCACGCCCCAATTACTGGGCAATATAAGAGATAGGAATTTGCAAAGGATAGTGGGTAAGAGGCTAGGTCGGGGTGGGGGGAGGGAAGAGTTTGTCCATGGGAGAGAAAATTAGGAAGCTGTAACTTGACTTTCGTAAAGCGCTCTGTTCTTCTGTCTTTTCCAAATGAAGGACAACAGGAAGAGCCTGCTTCATCTGGATTTTCTAATAGACACAGGTTCTGCAAAAAGGATCATGATGCACAGAATGACACACTTCAAATCAGATTATAGGTGTCAGAAACCAAAAAATTAAGTCACCATAGCCAGCCCTTACTCTAATAATTGTTTAAATACATGATCTTTCTAAATGCTCACATCAGCATATTGTATGTCTCCATTTATATAACATGACATTGTGGAAAAGGCAAACTGTCGGGACAGAAATCAGATAAGTGGCTCTCAGGGGCTGGAAGTACAGGATGAGGGGGACAACAAAGGATGTAAGGGAAATCTGGGGGTAATGGATTGCTTTGTGTGTTGATTATGGTGGTGGCTACCTGAATATATTTGTTTGTCAAAACTCATAACTCTACTTAATATAAAATAGTGGATTTTATCGTATGTAAATTTAAGAAACATTCTGTAGCCATAATAAAGATTAAACTAATCAAGTTTAAGGACATTTAAAAAGTCCCCCTGACCCATTGCTCTTTCATCTAAGAAGGTACAATAGGGAATGTGATTAAGAGCTTACTCACTGTGGAGACACCACAGACATAAGGCTTAGAATTTAACAGAGAAGTGTCCCGAAAGTCCAATGTACAGCATATACTCTGCATGGCGCAGGGCCAAGAGCTGGCTAGAAATACATAAAAACCCATTCCTTTTTCACTCTCCACAGTGGTGAGTAGAGATTTCTGTGCAAGAGGTTAGAAGTAGCTGGTAACAAAGCTCTAAAGTGGAGAGACTGGCAAGACGCAGATGAGAAGGGTTGGATCTTGGACAAAGTAGCAGAGGGAAATGCCTGCTGATTCTGAGAAGATCAAACAAAAAGAATGTGACTGAAAGCAGTGGTTCCCAAACCTCGTTTCACATCGAAATCACCTGATTCTCGCTAGATCCAGGGCTGTCAGGGAATCTGACGGTGAAGGAGCTTCCTGGGTGATTGTTTTCAGCTGCCTAGGGCCAGGGCTTGTCATAGGAGAGAAGGAAAGTCCTCCCGGCTCAGGGAGGAGGCTCCTTGTGGGCAGGCGGGTCAGGGCATCAGGATAAGAGGGAGCTGCTTGGATGTGCAGGGGGAGGGCTTTCTTGGGAGGCTGGAGCGATGCCTCTCACAGACTCAGGGAGCAGAGAGGGAGGGGGAGCAGCAGGGGCCTCCTCAGCTTTAGTGGGGTGTCTGCTGCACCGTTAGGGAGGAATGGGGGGAAATGTGAAGTGTCCCCCGTGTTGATATCACTAGCACCTTGCTCTGTGCCTGGGCATTGTGGCCAATCGATAAATATTTCGGGAATGAATGAATAAATGATTGCCACTCCATTAGGCACCTTCCTATATATGTTGCCTAATTTCACAATTACAGCTACCCCTGGGAGAGAGACTGTTATCCTTTGTAGACAGGGCATCTTCAATGCTCAGAGAAGTGAAGTAACCTACCCATCGTTTCACAGTTAGCAAATGCAATGGATATTTTAGCAAAGAATGAGCAGAGATAAGCCTGCCCTGGTAGGTTTCTTTCCACACTATTGGGATTCTGACAATGGACTTGAGTGTTTCATATTTGAAAACATATGAAAGATTGATCTCTTCATGAATGATTACATTTTAAGGTCAAAACCAGTAAGTTTCAAATGTTTCCTAAGGAATGTGTCTATTTTTGATATAAGTTCTATGGCATTAAATTATTTAATAATGGCTCTAGACTGGGGGACAGAGGGAAACTAGATCGCATTTTCTTGGCTCCGCCAGTTGTTAAAATGACTACTTGTTCTGGAATGTACCTTTTAGTTTTGGCTTTTTTTTTTTTCTTTTTCATCAACCAAACAGGAAGTGTAGGTTAGACAGGAGCCAGTCAGTACTCACAGGCTTCCCACTGGAAATCTCTTTTTAAAAGCAACCGAAACTTTTTTTTTTTAAAAGACCATCACCACTGCTACTGATTAGTAAAAGATGACTCTGAGAAGCATATCAACTGCTATATATTTTCAGCCTTCCTCCTTTTTTTAACTATTTGTATTTTTCCTTCCATATTTCTCTAGATGAAACTAGATAAAACTATATCATTTCATTATATCACTATTTGTATTAAATAAGGACTAGAATTAAGGTGCTATCTTGCATAAAATTATATTTATATGCTTAGCTATTAAATTCAAACCCCAAATCTATGAAATAAGATAGAACCAATCAAAGACAATTCTGACACTGGATTCAAATCCAGCATAAATGTTCTTCAAGTTTTTGTAGAATGAATGAATAAATGAATCTAGTTCTGTAATGAGAGGCAGTTACTTAAACCAAACAATGTAGTCATGGCTGGATATGTAGATATTGGGGCAGGAAGACAGACATAAATTCCTCTGGGCAAGAAGGGAAGGAGAATGAGGGAGGTGGGTGACCTTCCTCCTAAGCCTTTTAGTTTCAACAGCTTCATGAAAGATATGGGAATTTCAAGCCAGGAGAACTGAGCACTAATTTGTTAAAGTTGTGAAAAAAAACGTACAATATTTAAACCTGGAGAATACTATAGTTGAATATATCAAAAAGGCTAAGGCAATGTTAAGTAAATAAAAATCTAGAAAGTTTAGCAAATTGTCTCTAAATTCAAATGTGAGTCAGCAGACGGAGATGAAGGGCCAATGAAATGTATTAGGAGGCAGCTTTCTCCCGCATTTCTTTTAGGGGATGATTAGCTGGGGAGCAGGCTGAAGATGGATACCAGCCATCACATTTCAGTTCTTGCGGTTACTGATGTCTGCCTAATCTTCCTTCTCTTGACACGTAATTATAAGCTAGGTGTATATCTGATACAGCAGTTGGTCTCACTCCTGCCTAGTGTCTGGGAGTCTCTTGTCTCTGCTAGGTGTGCTATCACAGCTGCGTTAATCAGTTGATGTGGAGTAGCAGAGCCTGAGGAAGTCACCTCCCTGCTGGAGGTGTGGGCAGTGATTGGCAGCACTCAGCAACAGCAGGAGACTCCCATCATGAGAAAACCCCCATCACAGTCTGCTCAATCCCTGCAATCACTCCTAGAGGCTGTGTGTTCTTTTCAAAGGCATGGCAGGCCTGGATTTCATTGTCTTTTCCCTTTATGAGTTGAGGTATTAGAGAGGAGACCTGCTGTGGGATTAGAGTGGGTTGGCCTCTCTTTGCCTCTGACATCATCTTGAGCCACGGGAGCTCTTTCCTTCTTGGACTTTCCCATGGGGTTTGCTGAGTCTTGCTGCCGTGTTAATTATATTTTCCCTTGGTTGGCAGAATACAAATCAGCTTAGTCATGCTTCTATTTCCTCCAGACACAATACAGCTGAGAGGGAATTTGGCTAAGTGCAGACACAAAGACCAGGCGCCTGGCTCCAGGTGCCTCATCTTCCCCGTCTTTGAGTGGTTCCACCTCAAACACAGACTCAAGGACAAAGAGTCATTGGTAGGATCTGCAAACACTGCCCTCTAAAATTAGAGTCTTGATATCATGAAAGTAGGTTTCCCCTGGCTGTGTCTTTTCAGGAGGCCCCTTCTCTCCACTCTCCCAAAGTCTCCCCCAATGATTGCTGGAGTTCCCCCAGGCAGGCCTTTGCATGGGCAGCCCTCCCCTCTGGTACAAAGCACTTGCTAATCTCTCTCTTCTTGGGTATCATGGCAGTGGCAGTGCTTCTGGGGCCTGGCAAAGGTGTGCAGGCCCTGGTGCTCCATGCTGGGGCAGGGTGCTTTCTGCGGTCACAACTAAAGCAGCTAGTGCAGCCTGTGGTTCCTGCACAACCAGATGGGGCTATTTCTCATAGCTACAGAACTGTGGGTCCACCAGCATGCACTGGCTCTCTCTGACCTGGAAAAACCCCTTTTCCTAACTTTTCTAGTGTTTCTTACCAAGGTCCATGGTGCCAGCCACTGCTCCATTGTCTTGCCAAGTTATTGTGTAGCAAATTTAGATTTTTGCTTATAGCCTGCTTTTCCAAAGTCTTAATCACTACATGGTAGGCCACCCGATTGACTGTCACCAGGCTGCACCTAAAACCCATGCTGCCTTCAGCCCCGAGAGTGAACTGTGCTTCTCTTGCCTCTGTCCTCCCTTGAGTGAATTCCTTCCCAAGAGACCCTGGGATCCCTCATGAAAACAGCCTCCTCGAACCCAAAACCTTCCTAGCCCCAGACATGCCTGAATTCCAGGTCAGACACAACTCAGATCAAACTAGACTCTCTGATAAAAGAACGTAAGTCATGCTGCTGCCATTCATTAGGATGGGGATGTACAACATCTTCTGGAAGTCACTAGAACTGCTGTTGTGGGTCATTAGTCCCATTATGATGAAAATTACACAAACTCTAGCAATCACTTGTCACGCTAAGAATAACTGAAAACTCTTCAAGGATGGGAAGACTGATGTCATGGGGAAAGTTCTGGAGCAGAAATCAGGATGTCCTTAGCCACTAATCAGTGACAGGAGTTGTGCAAGTCAGATTATTTCTTGAGGCTCCAGTGTCCTCACTTGTAGAACATCCAACACTGGCATTCCTTGCTGTACCTCAAGGCCTGGGAAGTCGGATAAACATACATTTTTGCACAGCACAGAAAGAGCCTCTCCAGGAGTTGAGACCTGACTTCGTGGCATCTCTTCTGACTGCAGTGAATCTTTCTCTGTTAGGGTCAATATTTTTACAACTGTCTCTACATGAATCCCTTTCCCAGTAGTCTGGTGAACTCAGTGACATTGTTGAACTGAATTTCTGGGATTCAGGTGGACTCCACCAATGTAGCTGATACTGTGTGAGGTTTTCTATCATTTCTGGTAGCCTTTCGTAGTGATGGCATGAGGTTACCTCATGCCTTTCTATTCAAATTTCAGCAGTAGGAAAAGAACCAAAATGTTCCATAAAGTCCTCCCAGTCAATTAACTTCACCTAAAAAATGAGTGTTTTTTTTTTCCTTTCCTGAGATGGAATCTGATCTGTCACCCAGGATGGAGCACAGTCGCGCAATCTCGGCTCACCGCAACCTCTGCCTCCCAGGTTCAAGTGATTCTCCCACCTCAGCCTCCCGAGTAGCTGGGATTACAGGCGTGTGCCACCATGCCTGGCTAATTTTTGTATTTTTAGTAGAGACGGGGTTTTGCCATGTCGGCCAGGCTGGTCTCGAACTCCTGACCTCAGGTGATCCACCTACCTTGTCCTCCCAAAGTGTTGGGATTACGGGGGTGAGCCACCGTTTCCAGCCTGAAAAAATGAGTGTTTTGATGTTTTTGTATAAACATCCCTGTGATGGACATCTCTCTCCATACAGCTATGTTTGGAGGAGCAGGGCTGTTAAGAGTGGCAGGGGAGGAGTCCACTGAAATCTGAAAAAAAATCTTTGGGCAACATAGTGATAAAGGATATGTCATCATGTTTATTGTGGTAGTACTCACACTAGAAAGGATAATCTTACAAAGTTGCTCATAGGAGGTTCTGTGATCCTATTTTATACTTGGTTTAGGCTCTGTTTCTTTTTTTGCAGATTTATAGTAAAATGATTACATTGACAAGCTGTTCTACATCCACCCTCCCCGTTTCCAGCGTGGAGCCCTGAAGCATCGTTCAAAAAAGGACAAACAGCCTGAGAGGCAGATAAATGGATGGCCTGGTGTAATTTTAAATCACATGAATGATGTTGCTTCTCTCTCTTCCCCTGGAGAACCTCTTTCCATGTCTGACTGACGATAATGTGTGAAATTTTTCTTACTTAGCAGGGAGAATTAGTTTGTTTTAGTATCCAGAACACAGCACTGTATTTGGCTACTAGCTAAGTCCAATTTTTAATATATTACCATGCATAAACATGGTGGGAGTTCAGAAGGGCCACGCTCTGGGTCAAGATTTTTATAAAATAAGCTGAGGCTCAATTCATTTTTCTCAAAACGCTGGAGGCCCCTGCCCTTGCCAAGCCCAAGATCCTTTCTCTCTGAACTGCTCATTCACAGTCAATTCTCCCTCTAACTATGAGTAAAGCATCACATCATATCCTATTATCCTAAGAATAAAATAGGAAGGTGGAACACACAGAAACCAGAATTTCATGTCATAAGCAAATAAAGCATACATGGCTTTAATATACATCTATTCAATGCTCTACAATAGTTTCACAGTTTAAAAATAATTATAGGAATTATGATTTTTGCTCTGTTGTGCCAAATGTTTATAGGTTTTTTTTTTTTTTTTGTCCGCTCAGTTTGTCATGATTTTACCAGGTAAAATGTGATCTCTTTGTATATCTATTTTAAAACATAAAGGCCCTGGATTTGACAAAACGATGACAGCAATTTCTTTAGCTCCTCCAGCACCTCATGAACCACCATCCAATGCTTCCCTGGTCTGGGAGGAAAGAAGTGAGAGCAGAGGGTGGTGCTGCATCTGGAAATGTGATCAAAATGGTGAAAGGTGCTCGTGAGGCAGGCAGGCAGCTCCATTTTCTCCCTCCTGCCCTCTCACACAACTTACCGAACGTGATCATGTGCAGGGCAGTGTGTAGTAGTTGTTGGGGGAATTCGTAGCTACTGGGGGTTTTAGACAAAGAGGAGGCCATTCTATCCATCCACTCCATCTGTCCATTCCATCCATCCAATCCATCCGTCCGTTCCATCCATCCACTCCATCCATCCAATCCATCCGTCCACTCCATCCATCCACTCCATCCGTCCATTCCATCCATCCACTCCATCCATCCACTCCATCCGTCCATTCCATCCATCCACTCCATCCATCGACTCCATCCGTCCATTCCATCCATCCATTCCATCCATCCATTCCATCCATCCACTCCATCCGTCCATTCCATCCATCCACTCCATCCGTCCATCCATTCCATCCATCCATCCATCCATCAACTCCATCTGTCCATTCCATCCGTCCACTCCATCTATCCATCCATCCATCCATCCATTCCATACGTCCACTCCATCCATCCCATCCATCCATTCCATCCATCCACTCCATCCGTCCACTCCATCCACTCCATCCCTCCACTCCATCCATCCATTCCATCCGTCCATTCCATCCGTCCATTCCATGCGTCCACTCCATCCATCCACTCCATCCATCCACTCCATCCGTCCACTCCATCCATCCATCCATTCCATCCATCTGTTCCATCCATCCACTCCATCCATCCATTCCATCCATCCACTCCATCCGTCCATCCATTCCATCCATCCATTCCATCCGTCCATTCCATCTGTCCACTCCATCCATCCATCCACCCATCCCATCCATTGACTCCATCTGTCCATTCCATCCGTCCACTCCATCTATCCATCCATCCACTCCATCCATCCCATCCGTCCATTCCATCCATCCACTCCATCCATCTGTCCATTCCATCCATTCATTCCATGCGTTCATTCCATCCATCTACTCTATCCATCCACTCTATCCATCCACTCCATCCAATTCCATCCGTCCATTCCATCCATCCACTCCATCCGTCCATTCCATCCATCCATTCCATCCAGCCACTCCATCCGTCCATCCATTCCATCCATCCATTCTATCCGTCCATTCCATCTGTCCACTCCACTCCATCCATCCATCCATCCATTCCATCCATCAACTCCATCTGTCCATTCCATCCGTCCACTCCATCCATCCATCCATCCATCCATTCCCTCCATCCACTTCACCCACTCCATCCGTCCACTCCATCCACTCCATCTACTCCATCCATCCATCCATCCATTCCATCCGTCCACTCCGTCCGTCCACTCCATGTGTCCATTCCATCCGTCCACTTCATCCGTCCACTCCATCCATCCACTCCATCCATCCACTCTATCCATCCGTGCACTCCATCTATCCATTCCATCCATCCACTCCATCCATCCACTCCATCCATCCATCCACTCCATCCGTCCACTTCATCCATCCACTCCATCCCTCTGCTCCACCCGTCTGCTCCATCCGTCCACTCCATCCATCTGTCCACTCCATCCCTCCACTCTATCCGTCCACTCCATCTATCCATCCATTCCATCTGTCCACTCCATCCATCCATTCCATCTGTTCACTCTATCCATCTGCTCCATCTGTCTGCTCCATCCATCCACTCCATTGATCCATTACATCCATCCGTCCACTCCATCGATCCATTCCATCCATCCATTCCATCCATCCATTCCATCCATCCACTCCATCCACCCATTCCATCTGTCCACTCCATCCGTCCACTCCATCCATCCACTCCATCCATCCATTCTACCCATCCACTCCATCCATCCACTCCATCTATCCATCCATTCCATGTGTCCACTCCATCCCTCCATTCCATCCATACATTCCTTCCATGTCTTTCATCCATTTGTGTCTCAATCTGTATTTGCTGGATAGCTTTGTGGGGCAGGCATGCTGCTGGCTGGGGAGGGTGGGGGCCTCAGTCAATAAGCCCAACAGGCCAGACGGGGGTAAGGGCCTGCACTGGGGAAGTGATGGTGGCAGTGGGGAGCTCTGGGGCAGGCCCTGGCCCGGGGGGTGTGCATCAGGGAAAGCTTCGAGGGTGAAGAGATATCTCCTCACTTGAAGGATGAATCAGAGTTGGTCAGGCATAAGGCTGGATAAAGAACGTCCCTGTCATTAAAATCAACATACTCAAGGGTTCAGATCTGTGAGGGAGAATGATCCCAGCACTGACTGTCACTGTTGATATTTTTGACCCTTGGGACTATTGATCAGAAAAAACCTACCAGGAGCCTCTCCTCAAGACCTTCCCCTTCCAATCCTTTCCAGGTCCCCTTGGTTGCTAATAGCACAGCACTGGCCTCGTAACTCAAATCCTGGGGCCATCTTCAGCCTCTGTCCTGTGTTCCTATTATACTGTGACCCACAGCCCGCACATTTGTTCCTTCTGTTCCTGCACTGTTCTCAGGTCTTCCCCATCCTCCTAGTAGAAGACTGTCCCCAGCCCGCCACCATGCCTTGTCCACAGGGGGCTGTCCGTGACTGTCAGAGGAATGAACAAACAGTGAATGTGCCTGAGCCACCGGGGACTTCTTGATGGTCTGAACTTCATTCTAGGCATTTTCTTGAGCCTCTGATGCCTCTGGAGTGTTTCTTCCTCTCTTCTAATCTAGACCATATAAAAATGGAGTTTAACTTTTTAGCCGACTAGCAAATAACATAGCAATGGCCACTGGAAGCTTTCAGCAATTTTCAGAAACACCAGAGAATCCCCAAGGTCAGACAGAATCTGTGGTCCTGGGGAGCCTGCTGGGTGTCCTGGTCCAGGGGTCAGAGTCCGTTGCAGACAGGGAGGGGGCCAGCAGCCCCAGGCAGCAGCATGGAGAACACAGTGAGGGAGAAGTGGCTTGAACTGAATTCCCTGGGATGGTTTGGGCCTTTTTTTTTTTTTTTTTTTTTTTTCCAGACAGAGTCTTGCTCTGTCGCTTAGGCTGGAGTACAGTGGCACAATCTCGGCTCACTGCAAGCTCCGCCTCCCAGATTCAAGCAATTCTCCTGCCTCAACCTCCTGAGTAGCTGGGATTACAGGTGTGCGCCACCATGCCCGGCTAATTTTTGTATTTTTAGTAGAGATGGGGTTTCACCATTTCACCATGTTGGTCAGGCTGGTCTCAAACTCCTGAACTTGTGATCCACCCGCCTCGGCCTCCCACAGTGCTGGGATTACAGGTGTGAGCCACCGCGCCCAGCTTGTTTGGGTCTTTCTAGGGAGAATGACCCTGGGACAGGTGCCTGGAGCACTTGAATAAACTGTCTGTGACCCAGCCCTGATTTGAGGGTGGATGTGAGTTCTGTGAACCTCAATGCTGGTTCCATAACCCAGGTCTTGAGAAAACCCTCCCTACAAGTTCATGGCCCCAAGGCCTATTGAACACCAAGAGATGGAATCTACAGACAGACAACAGCTTGGCCATATGCGACAACAGCACGCTGACCCACAATCTGCAGCAGACATTCCAGGAAGCTGGCCCCAAATGATCAATTGATACCAGATTCCCTAATTTTGTCCCTGCTGCCAACTTTAGGCCAACCAGAGGGAGCCAAATATAATCCCCTCACCAATCACACAGGATGCCTCCTGTGTCAGGCAGCCCTCCTCCAGCTTTCCCGGGCCAACAAGCTCCAGCCCCGGCACACCCCAGCCTTCCCCTCTCTCCACCTGAAAGCTTTCCCACTCCCCGCTTGCCTCAGAGTCTCTGCCAGGCACAAGTGACGATGGCTGACTCTCTTGCTACAGCAAGCTCTGAATAAATAGCCTCTGCGTGTTCTCATCTGGGTGGTCTTTATTTCCACACTTGTGCCTTAGAGGTTTCCTCAGAGCTCCTGGAATAAGATGCTGATGGAAGTCAGGGTTCTGGGAGATATGCCATTCCTTCACAACTTTCCAAGGCCCTAACTACCTTTGTCAAAACAGAAACCAGTGTCCTCAGGTGGACATTTTACCTGTAAACTCTGGATCAAGGTCAGAAGATCCATGTGAGTGGATCCAGTGTGGAGATGATTAGGTCTCCATGAGAAAGGGGTGGGGGCGGTGCAGGGCAGTGGGGGGATCTGTGATCCAGAGACCAGATTCTCTAATTCTGCTGTAATCCTTGAGTTTCCAGGCAATAGAAACCCATAGATTTTCAAAAGTAATAAATACAAAATATTCTACCCAAGTTAGGAGCAATTTGCAAGACAGTGAGTGTCTATTATAATACGGTTCTAGGAGACACATAATCCCACTTTGTGGTTTGGGGTAGTGGTAACAACACCTGTGACTCAGGTGTCTGGAATTTGAAGTTGGGTAATATGTCTTTGTCACTATTTACATGAGGGTGTGATTTGACTGGCCATGGAACAGAGGAATAAGGAGGCAATTTACAACAGGGTTTTTACAAAACAAGGTGTGTTCAATAGCACTTGATAGTTGCATTCTCTAAGTACATGGTGGTAATAGTAACAAGTTCAGTGAGGATGTTGGAAAGGGAGCATGCCAAGAGGAGGCTGCTGGCAAACAGCAAAACTCAGGGAGAAGTCGTCCAGCACTTGAGCTGAATTTTGAAATGCTAAAATAATTGTCCTTGGAAATCAACAGGCAAAGGTACATCATGTCGGAGCTACACTTATCACAGGGTAGATGGTGGCACATAGACTCAGGCGTCCACCAGGGTCAGTCCCCTGCAGGCCAGTCTAGCTGCCCACGGGCCACTGCAGCAGCCCCTGGGAGCAGTGAGGCCACCCTTCTCTGTGGGTTCATTCTTTTCAGTGGTAGGTATTTCACTCCTTCGTGTAATCTGCTAGGTGGTTGGGATGCAGCAACGTCCACAAGAAACTGGATGCTGCCAGGATGAGAAAGCCACTGCGAGCCCGTTGCAAACCTGGCTCTTCCAGAGGGGAGCACGTGTATGAGCAGAAGGAAGCTGCCTTGTTTACCTGGGTGTGAACACCAAAACTGTGGCCCACATCTGCCTTAAATCAACACAGCCCTACAGAGGTTCTTCATTCCATTTGCTCTATTTTTTTTTTTTTTTTGAGACGGGGTCTCGCTCTGTCGCTCAGGCTGGAGAGCAGTGGCACGATCTCGGCTCACTGCAAGCTCCATCTCCCTGATTCACGCCATTCTCCTGCCTCAGCCTCCCGAGTAGCTGGGACTACAGGTGCCCACCACCATGCCCGGCTAATTTTTGTATTTTTAGTAGAGACGGGGTTTCACCGTGTTGGCCAAGATGGTCTCGATCTCCTGACCTCATGATCCGCCCGCCTTGGCCTCCGAAAGTGCTGGGATTACAGGCGTGAGCCACCATGCCCGGCCCATTTGCTCTATTTATTTTCTTTCCTGAAGAGCTGCTTCCCCGTTTCAAATCCTTTCAAGAAGAGACTAGATTAGGAATGCTGGTTAGTTTGGTCCAGAATCATGGGAGTGAGGAGTGAGATGGCAAGATGGAAGGGCAGATGGTAACGAAGAGAGACCCCAAAAGGATGAGTAGAATTACATATAGAAAGCAATGTCTGTTTTATTGCAGAGGACAGATCATGGAAACCATACACAATGAAAAAACATCAGGACCCATAACCGAGAGGCCAGACTCTAAGATCCAGCTTCCCTCTGGATGATGGAAAAGATCCCCAAAGATGGTCCTGAGCGCCAAGCTCTCCCAAAGCATCTCAAAGACAGGGTCAAAGTAATGGAATTAGTATAACATTTCTCATTGTTGGCTGTACATTACAATCACCCAGAGAACTTAATGAAAAAAAAAAACCTGTTTGCATAGGTCCATTGAAACAGGCTCTCTTGGGTGCACTTGGGTGTCTGCAGGTTTTTAAAAGCTCCCCACGTGGCAGTAATTTGCAGTAAGGGTTGAGAGTCTCCAGGTTGGAGAAAGACAACAGGTAAGTCCAAAAACAGAAGGAGGTACTGGAGGGTATTTCACCTGGGGCATGCTCAGTCAGTCAGTAGAAGTTTACTAGCAGACACATGGCATCATGGTAGAGCCGTCCATGAACCTCTCTCTTTCCCCTTCCACGCTGTGCTCCTTGGGCCTGGGGAAGGAAATAGCCTCCCTGAAGTTCTTGGCTGTGTGGAGGAGGGTAGATGCCTGAAAATAACTGGGGTGCTATGAGGTAGGAGAAAGAGGAGCTGGCTGCTGGGAAGGCACCCACCAGCTTCTGCTATGTGCTAGCAGATTGACTAATCATGAAGTTTCCCCAACTTGCTAGTTTAAAAAGTTCTATGTTTACATGATACTACCTAAAAATAAATCTATTGGTTTGGGGTCATGGCTGGGCTGGAGACGCAGACATATGGCAGATAGTGCCTTTGGCCATCTCCTGTGCAACTCTCTGAATTAGATGCTGAAATGGTTTTCTATTGGAACTGAGAGTAGCTTGCATGGACAAGATTCTCCTTTATTTACTTCTGGAGACATTCTCCTAGGAGGGAAGAACAGCACCAGATGGTCTTTGTTAGTTGTGACTCACGTTCTTAAGTTAGACAAACAAATGAAGTTAAAAACTAGGTGGGTTCTGGAATCTCAGATTAAATCTATGCTTTTCCATCTGAAGGTCACACAAGGATAGGTCTTTATCATCTACTCTTAGATGTTTTTCTTACACTGTTTTTCTTACAAAACTACTTTTATAAACAGGCACTGAGGCCATAAACGTGAAAAGATGCTTAAATTTGTATTTAAGGAGATTCTATATTACTGCTTTCAAGGCTTTAGAATCTTATACAATAGAAAAGACAAAAATCTGTCCATTTATTTTACAAGAATGGCCTTGCTTGAGATCTGGCTTGCCATTGGCTAGCATATAGAATTTGCTATGTATGTTAAAAAGCTGATTCTGTAAACCGAGGTAATTAATCAGTTTGACACAGATATTTTCAATGGTTTCAACACAACTCAAAAGTAAGCGTTGTGGATTTTTAACCTTCTGCTCTGCCTGATTAGAATGGGTATGGCTTCTCAACAGTCTTAAATATTCTGCTTATAAATCAGTTCATTCATTCAATACATGTCCTATGTGTCTGACACTGTTATGGGTGCTGGGTATCTAGCATAGTACAAAACAGACCCAAATCCCTACTCTTTTTTTTTTTTTGAGATGGAGTCTTACTCTGTCACCCAAGCTGGAGTGCAGTGGCACGATCTTGGCTCATTGCAACCACATCCCAGGTTCAAGTGATTCTCCTGCCTCAGCCTCCTGGGTAGCTGGGATTACAGGCACCCGCCACCATGCCCAGCTAATTTTTGTATTTTTAATAGAGATGGGGTTTTGCCATGTTGGCCAGGCTGGTCTCGAACTCCTGACCTCAAATGACCCAACCGCCTTGGCCTCCTAAAGTGTTGAGATTACAGGCATGAGCCGCTGCGCCCGACCTCAGATCCCTACTCTCTTGAAATTACATTC
Source organism: Homo sapiens (assembly GCF_000001405.40). Lineage (NCBI taxonomy): Eukaryota > Metazoa > Chordata > Mammalia > Primates > Hominidae > Homo > Homo sapiens. The sequence continues at coordinate 109,612 of NT_187564.1, read as the reverse complement.
TGGTGGGAGGAGAAGGGCCACAAACAATTTGGTGAAATGCATAGAATGCTTTGAAAATGTGAGTTATGGAGAAGAATAAGTCAGGGAAGAGGGATAGGGCATCATGCAGTGGGATTTGCAATTAAAAACAGTGGTCAAGGAAGGCCAGGAGAAGGTGACAGTTGAGTAAAGCTGTATGATGACTTTCCAGGGGGTGCCCAGGCCCCTTTGCTCCTGCTCCTCTGCCACTTTGTGGGTTCTTGCCTATGTATGATGCCTGGGACACATCACCTTCATTTGGAAAATTAAATGGGGTTTCAGAGGCCAGGTGTGGTGGCTCATGTCTGTAATCCTAGCACTTTGGGGGGCCGAAGTGGGTGGATCACCTGAGGTCAGGAGTTCGAGACCAGCCTGGCCAACATGGCAAAACCCCGTCTTTACTAAAAATACAAAAAATTAGTGGAGTGTGGTGGTGTGCACCTATAATCCCAGCTACTCGGGAGGCTGAGGCAGGAGAATCACTTGAACCCAGGAGGTGGAGGTTGCAGTGAGCCGAGATTGTACCACTGCACTCCAGCCTGGGCAAGAGTGAAACTCCGTCTCAAAAAAAAAAAAAAAAAAAAAATGGGGCTTCAGAGACAAGTCTCACTCAGTTTGAGAAACAGGCAGGCCGGAAAGGTTGACCCACAGACAGCAGAGAGGGGAGTGCCTCTTCACGCCTCCTCCCTCTTCACAGTTCCAGTGGTTTATTTTACTGTCCTCTAATTTCTGACCCACAAATGTTAGTGTTTTCAAGAGTTCACATTTATATAGCAGACACAGATGGTGACTATTAGATTTTAGTAAAGTGGATTGAAAACTATTCACATACAATTGAGGAAGAAGCAAGCTGTCCAACGGAGTTAGATGTAATGGGATGATTCATCTATGGACAAAGAAGAGGAACTCAAGAAAAGGGCCCAAATGTCAGGAATTCAATTCAATTTCTCTAACATTAACCAGACACTCTATACGGGTTCAGCAAAGTGAAAAGTAGGCATGGTGGGAAAATGAGGCAAACAATTAAAAAAAAAAAGTGTACTACCTCTTAGAATCATGCACAAAATACGTTTGTTAAAAAGTAATGTAAGAAATCCTAAAACTTTAAGTATAAAAAAAAAAGAATAAACCTAAATCACAATCTGAAAAAAAAAAAAAAAAAAAAAAAAAAAAGAAATCCATAATTGGGAAGCCATATGGCACAGAAGAAGGACCATGGATTTTTAAGCCAGTCGGTTCTGGGTCTGAACCACTATTATGACTGTCACTTGCTAGCTATGTGAACTTGGACTAGTTATTTAACCTTTATGAACCTCGGTTTCTTCTCACGTAAAATGGGGGTGATAGGACAGGATTGTCTGGATAAGAGGTAACATAGGTAAAGCATCTAACAACAGCACCAGGTATTATGGTGATTATAACAATAGTGATGTATTTATTATTCTTAGTCAAATGAATGCCACTAAGAATTTGATTTATAAGACTCAGAGATGGCAGAGATCTGAATGATTTGGCACATTTTTGGGGCGATTTCAGGAAGAGGACAAATTTCAACCTGGGCTTTGAAGGATGGATAGATTTTAGAAAAAGAGAATGATGAGGGGAAGTGGGGAAAGGTAGTCCCTGAATGAAACTTAGAAGTGAGGAAAAAATTTGAAAAAAAAAAAAAACCCCAAAAAACAACAAAACAAAACAAAACAAAACTACTTATTTAGGCAAGAGCTTGGAGAACGGCTTGAATGGAGGTCTTTGAAGTAGGAAAGGAGAAATAAGGTTGGATAAACTGATATATAACCAGATTGTGGATAGCTCAAAAGAATGTTAGATGTAAACATATTGCAGCAAAAAATTAACTCCTTGATCACAGACAAAACTATTAACTTTTTGATCCTAGACGTGCCCAAGTACAACTTTAAGAGAGGGCTATTTCTTTAGCATCCAGTTTTAGTTATATTAAAATCCACTTACAAAAGTTATCCTAGAGAGGTTAGATATAAGCATATACATGTTTACATCTAGAAGTATATTTCTATTTTATAACAAAAATTTGGTAGCTTATGGCTGCCATGCTCTAGCGGGAATATTTCTTATTACACTTGTTTCTCGAGTTTCCCTCAGAGTGTACGAGAGTGTGAAATGCCTAGCGTGGCAGAGGGAGTAGACCAATGTAGGTTGGCATATGGTTACAAGGCTTAGGCTTTCTTTCTTGATGGTTCCTCCCAAATTTTAAGAATTTACAGTTCTTGGCTGGGTGCGGTGGCTCACGCCTATAATACTAGCACTTTGGGAGGCCAAGGTGGGCGGATCCCCTGAGGTTAGGAGTTCGAGAGCAGCCTGGCCGACATGGTGAAACCTCCATTTCTACTAAAAATACAAAAAATTAGCCAGACGCAGTGGTGTGCGCCTGTAATCCCAGCTAGTTGGGGTGGGGGAGGGGGACGGGTGCTGAGGCATGAGAATCTCTTGAACCTGGGAGGTGGAGGTTGCAGTGAGCTGAGATCACGCCATTGCACTCCACACTCTAGCCTGGGTGACAGAGCGAGAATCCGTCTCAGAAAAAAAAAAAAAAAGAAGAATTTATAGTTCTAAGAACCTCAGCTAGAATTCTTTTGCAGTTCATATGTGATTACATATTTTTTCTTTCCTCTGTCTCTTTCCTCTCTTCTTTTACTCCAGAGTAATGTGCCTAGAAGGAGACAGTGCATCGAAGCAAGTTTACTCTCAGCATGTCAAGAAAACATTAAAATATTATTTGCCTGATGATTGCATTGGACACATTTTGTGAAATACATGAATCCCTCCTACCTGGGATGTCAAGAGACTGCTCTTTTGCTGGGAGAATGGACTGATCTTTTGCATCAGCTCAACGCTGCTTTTGGGGAGCCATTTTGGATACAATATATGTATTGCTTCCTTTAAATGGGAAATAACCATGGTCTGTCAACAAATAATCTTGTTTGATAAATCTGACCCAGATGGTGTGCTAGGTTGCAAAACCGTCTTCTTCTGCTTTGGAAAAACTCAGCTCTGTCCCTCCATCCCTCCCTCTGCCACCAGCCTCTGTCCACCCCCAAGCCCAGCTCCCTGATGGCAACAGTATAACCACTGAGGCTGAATCAGAGCCAAACCCTTTCCCTGCTGCTTTGAAGGTTTTTTTGTGCTGGATTTAGAATCCTACACTCAACACATTGGTTGGAATTCCTGATTTCCTTCTGCAAAGTCTCCTGCCTTCCTCACTGTACTCCACTGTTTGAAAAAAAAATTCAACATCTCTCCACTGCCTACCAAATAAAAGTCTAAATTCCTTAACCTGGTTCTTCGTGGCTTCACGGTCTAACCCCACTACTCTCCTTCACGTGTACCATCTATAGCCACACTTGCTACTTGGGGCTATTTCTAGTATTTGCATATGTTTCCTGGGTCTCTCTGGCCAGGCGCTCCTCTCATTATTAGAAGAAACCTCTCTTTACTCTGAAAGCGTATGTATCACATGAACTGCCAATTTACCAGTCTCTCCACTCATTGACGAATAGCCTACATTGACAAGTAGTATCTTGGATCATTAAGTCTTCAGGAATAGTTTATAATGCAATCAAAAGCATTTTAAGGAGGTTAAAACTATTCCTTCTTACTTTCCACTGGGTATTCAATTAATTTTTTTCATCTTTCTTAGTTTAGATTGTCAGTGTTTTAATGACAGTCAGCATGTCTGTTTCACCTTTGTTGTCACCACAGGGTCTAGCACAGGTGGGGTGGAATAGTGGGAACCTAAAAATTCTTTGTTGGCTGGGTGTGGTGGCTCACGCCTGTAATCCCAGCACTTTGGAAGGCGGAGGCGGGCGGATCACCTGAGGTCAGGAGTTTGAGACCAGCCTGGCCAACATGATGAAACCCCATCTCTACTAAAAATACAAAAATTAGCCGGGTATGGTGGTGCATGCTTGTAATCCCAGCTACTTGGGTGGCTGAGGCATGAGAATCACTTGAACCCAGGAGGCGGAGGGTGCCATGAGTGGAGATTGAGCCACTGCACTCCAACCTGGGTGACCTATGGAGACCCCATCTCAAAAAAAAAAAAAAAAAAAAAAAAAGAAAAAAAAATTCTTTGTTAGGTCTCAGCTCTCCACCCTGGATCTACCACTAACTGCCACTGCCCATAGTCCAGTGCCAAAGAGAAGAAAAAAACAGGCAAACAAAAAATTCTACAGAGAATGAGACTGACATATTCTGCAAGATCTGACTATAGCCTCCTAAACCCTAGTGATTGGTGACACGGCCCAGGCAGGAAACTGTACATCAGCCCTGGGAGGGTAGCACAGCCATCAGCAACTCGAATGCAGCCATATTGGCCTAGAAAGCTTTGGGGCAGAAGTTGGGGAATTAAGGCAATGTGGTTCCCTTCTCCATATGAAAAGGAAATGCGCTCATTAAAATACATAATCACAAGAATGCAGTTCTACCTAGCAGAGTGGTCTGCAATCTTTTTGGCACCAGGGACCAGTCTTGCAGAAGACAGCTTTTCCGTGGACTAGGGGAGTAGGGGATGGTTTTGGGATGATTCAAGCACATTGCATTTATTATGCACTTTATTTCTATTATTATTATTACATTGTAATATATAATGAAATAACTATACAACTTACTATAATGCAGAATCAAGGGGAGCCCTGAGCTTGTTATCCTGCAACTAGATGGTCCCATCTCAGGGGTGATGGGAGATACTGACAGATCATCAAGCATTAGATTCTCATAAGGAGTGTGCAACCTAGATCCCTCGCATGCACAGTACACAATCGGGTTTGTGCTCCTATGAGAATCTAGTGTTGCTGCCGAGCTGACAGAAGGTGGAGCTCAGGTGGTAATGCGAGCCATGGGGAGCAGTTGTAAACACATATGAAGCTTCAATTGCGTGTCTGCCATTCACCTCCTGCTGTGTGGCCTGGTTCCTAACAGGCCACGGTAGGTGTCCATGGCCCTAGGTTGGTGACCCCTGACCTAGCAGACTGATTGTATTCACAAGGTTTTTAAGATGATGAAATAAACCTTGGAGTAGTGAAAAAACAAAGAGTTTTGATATCTTAATAATTTTTATATTGAAAAATTATAAAAATTTCCCTCAAATTCACTTTTATGATAAAGATATAGGATCACAATATGATGATCTTTTCTATGAGATGTTAGTCACAATCTATTTTGCCAGAATAAAATATACAAGAGTCTTCATGAAATATAAAGGGAAAAGTACTTAATTACAGAGTGTATTTTCCAGGCATCATTACTGTCTAGCATATTATTAAACACAAAGTTGACTCAATCGATATGCTTTCTTATCTATGTTAATAGCTGATTTATCAGTCACTCCACTCATGGACAAATGGCCTACATTGACAAAGAGTATCTTAGGTCATAAATTCTTCAGGAATAGCTTGTAATGCAATCAAAAGCAGTGCTTCATGGGGAAGTTGTTAAACTTTCAGGAGAAGAGGTTGTAATTCCTTTCCCAATGTTTTGATTACTGATAACTTTGAAAATGTAGGCCAGAATTGGTAAGCTGAGTTAATAGGAGAGCAGGTTTATTCCTTTGATCTGTTCTTTTCTGACCATCATTCCATTGCAGAGAAAGAGAGCGGTGTTCCTCTTTTCTCTCTGCCCTCTCATAATAAATCCCCTTGTCACATGGAGATTGAAACTCAAGAGCCGGTTGGTTGTAGAATCTTGATGAGTTTGTAGCTCCTAATGGAGGGAAATATGTAATTATCCATTCGGACCACGAAACTCATTTGCAAAGGTTAACAGTGTTCCTACAATTTACATGCCATGCCACCTGCTTTGTTAAAAGCATGCCTAATTTGAATGCTTTTGGGTAGGTGGGACTATCCAGGTTCCAAGCTGTCCAAACACCTAGTGAGAAACACCAAAACCAGTTTAGGAAGTTTTTGGCCCTTTGGGATTCACTGAACAATCAATCTGACTCATACCTTGCTTGCTTTTTGTTTTCTCAGATGCCCCCAGATAGTAGCTCTTCCCTTCCTCTTGTTTACTGCCTATTTATTAGGCAAAAAAATCACACACGCTTCACAGATGTGTTATGCTCATTAACACCCATCATATGCACATTGAAGGGTGTGAACATTCGCATTGCTAATGAAATGAGAATGGCGAGAGGCAGGGCAAGCCAAGCAGGCGACAGCCGGGTGACTTCTCTGCAGGGGGCGGTTTGATGGATGTGGATTGTGAGCCAACTAGCTCAGGTATCTTTCACAGTAACTGATGGGCCTGCAAGAAACTCTCCTGATTCTAAGATCTAGGCTCTATCAGAGGCAGATCCTCAAGAGTAGTAGGCATCCCAGCCAACCTCCCAAGAAAAGCATTCCAAAAGGAGAAGGGTCTGAATGAGACTTTGATGAAAGGGCCATCTCTCCGGGATAAAGAAGCATGCTTGCCACCACCTTGGAGGAAGATGGATTTAGAAATGAGCTCAGGGCAGGGCCGGGCACGGAGGCTCACGCCTGTAATCCCAGCACTTTGGGAGGCCGAGTTAGGCGGATCACGAGGTCAGGAGATTGAGACCATGGTGAATCCCCGTCTCTACTAAAAATACAAAAAATTAGCCGGGCGTGGTGCCTGTAGTTCCAGCTACTCAGGAGGCTGAGGCAGGACAATGGCATGAACCCGGGAGGCGGAGCTTGCAGTGAGCCGAGATCGCACCACTGCACTTCAGCCTGGGCGAAAGAGCAAGACTCCGTCTAAAAAAAAAAAAGAAATGAGCTCAGGGCAACCAAGACCTTATCTACTGTTACAGCAAACTTGTGCTGTGAACTCTAGGAGGTGTGAATCCCACGTGGGCTCTAACATTGCTTTGATACTAAGATCAGTAACAGGACTGCAGTTTACTTTAATAAGACTGGTCCTTTTTTAATTAAAAATATTTTTTTGGAGACTGGAGTCTTGCTGTCCTGCCCAGGCTGATCTTGAACTCCTGGCCTCAAGTAGCCCTCCCATCTCAGCCTTCCAAAGCATTAGGATTACAGGCATGAGCCTCAGCACTTGGCCTGATTCTTGATTTCTAGTATGCTTCCTCAAAAGAATAATACCATGAATTTTTTTTTTTTGAGATGGAGTTTCATTCTTGTTGCCCAGGCTGAAGTGCAATGGCATGATCTCAGCCCATTGCAAACTCTGCCTCCTGGGTTCAAGTAATTCTCCTGCCTCAGTCTCCCGAGTAGCTGGGATTACTGGCATGTGCCACCACGCCTGGCTAATTCTGTATTTTTTGTAGAGACAGAGTTTCACCATGTTGGTCAGGATGGTCTCAAACTCCTGACCTCAGGTGATCTGCCCACCTCGGCCTCCCAAAGTGCTGGGATTACAGGCGAGAGCCACTGTGCCTGGCTGGCATCATACTTTTTAAATTGCTGCTTCTTTACTGTCAGGCAGGGGGATGGCATCTATCATTATGCAAATACATTTGGGACCTATGGAGTTTTTAATGACCCCGTGGGGCTTCAGAAAAAATACAGATTGCCAAATGAGGCTGAACTATTCCAGATAAATGGATTGGGAATGGCAGCTCCACATTGTTTATTTGTTTATTTGCTGTCTTAAAGTGAATTGTCTTTTCTCGCTGAGTCTTTAATAATATATACACTGGTGCCTCCAGAGAGAGCTATTTGGGATCTTTGGTTCCCTGCAAAATGAGATCGCAATAGGATTTTTGACTTCTCACATCTTTCTATTTATCTGCCCTCTTGCCAATATGCATCTAGCTGCCTGTTCTTACTGTGATTGATATTTTTACTTCTATTCCTTCTAGAACATTCTACTAATTTGTGTTGGATCTTGCAAGGGCTAGGAAACCAGTTAATGATTTCTATTAGAACTTTGCATAAAATAGGTGTAAATAAGGCCTGTGCGGGTATTATTTGTGCCTACCTAGTTTTCTCCCTCTGAGATCCTCACATCCCCATTAGGCACCACGTAAATATATAATTCCTTCCTAGAGTCTGGTGCCAATTATGACTGTGGGCAGTAGGGATTTACCTTGCTGATGGTCATGCTCTGAATCTGACACAGTCTTCCTGCAGTCTTGGCAGCCAGCTTCCCATTTCTTTTTTTTTTAATATATTTTTATTATACTTTAAGTTCTAAGGTACATGTGCACAACGTGCAGGTTTGTTACATATGTATACATGTGCTATGTTGGTGTGCTGCACCCATTAACTTGTCATTTACATTAGGTATATCTCCTAATGCTATTCCTCCCCCCATGAAGCCAGCTTCCCATTTTTAATCCCAGTTGCTCTATGTAGATTGTTAACCTCTCCCTTATTCTGAAAACCCCTGGGTGTTCAGGACTGGGTTCCTGCCATGTTCTTGCCATCTATTTTTTTTCCCTCTATCTTTTTTTCCTTCCCTAACAATGAATATTCTCTTTGACTTAAGAAGGATGCTCAGGAGAGAGCAATCAGTACTAAGTCCGGCAAAAAGTAGGATCTCAGCATGTGTTTGTTAAATGAAAGCATAAATAATATATATGAATATACTCCAGCCTAGACATTACTCTCAGAAGCTGTACATTGTTGAAAGAACACATTTTGTCTTAACCATAGGTGTTTATATAAAAAAGTCTGTAGGGAATTTGGTCAAGTGGTAGGCAAAGCAGGACTTATAAAACCCAAGCACATTTATGAAAACCAAAATTTCCAAGAATGTGGCTTTATCAAGGCATTCTCATTAGGCTAGAAAGGTAACTGATAGGTTTAAAATATCAACAAAGATATAATCCATAAATGTTTCTGATTATTTATTCCTGCTACTATTCTGTCTATAACCAGAGCAATTAACAACATTTTTGTCAGGCCTCTGAGCCCAAGCTAAGCCATCATTTCCTGTGACCTGCATGTACACATCCAGATGGCCGGTTCCTGCCTTAACTCATGACATTCCACTACAAAAGAAGTGAAAATGGCCTGTTCCTGCCTTAACTGATGACATTATCTTGTGAAATTCCTTCTCCTGGCTCATCCTGGCTCAAAAGCTCCCCTACTGAGCACCCTGTGACCCCCACTCCTGCCCGCCAGAGAACAACCCCCCTTTGACTGTAATTTTCCTTTACCTACCCAAATCTTATAAAACGGCCTCACCCCTATCTCCCTTTGCTGACTCTCTTTTTGGACTCAGCCTGCCTGCACCCAGGTGAAATAAACAGCCTTGTTGCTCACACAAAGCCTGTTTGGTGGTCTCTTCACATGGACGCAAGTGAAATTTGGTGCTGTGACTCGAATCAGGGGATCTTCCTTAGGAGATCAATCCCCTGTCCTCCTGCTCTTTGGTCTGTGAGAAAGATCCACCTACGACCTCTGGTCCTCAGACCAACCAGCCCAAGGAACATCTCACCAATTTTAAATCCAGTAAGCGGCCTCTTTTTACTCTCTTCTCCAACCTCTCTCACTATCCCTCAACCTCTTTCTCCTTTCAATCTTGGTGCCACACTTCAATCTCTCCCTTCTCTTAATTTCAGTTCCTTTCCTTTTCTGGTAGAGACGAAGGAGACACGTTTTATCTGTGGACCCAAAACTCCGGCACCGGTCACGGACTGGGGAAGACAGTCTTCCCTTGGTGTTTAATCACATGGGGACGCCTGCCTGATTATTCACCCACATTTCAGAGGCATCTGACCACACGGGGACGCCTGCCTTGGTCCTTCACCCTTAGTGGCAAGTACCGCTTTTCTGGAGGGCAAGAACCCCCTAACCCCTTCTCTCCATGTCTCTACCCCTTCTCTGCTTTTCTGGGGGGCAAGAACCCCCCAACTCCTTCTCCTTCACCCTCAGCGGCAAGTACCGCTTTTCTAGGGGGCAAGAACCCCCCGACCCCTTCTCTCCATGTCTCTACTTGCTCTTTTCTCTGGGCTTGCCTCCTTCACTATGGGCAAGCTTCCACCCTCCATTCCCCCTTCTTCTCCCTTAGCCTGTGTTCTTAAAAACCTAAAACCTCTTCAACTCACACCTGACCTAAAACCTAAATGCCTTATTTTCTTCTGCAATGCCGCTTGACCCCAGTACAAACTTGACAGTGGTTCCAAATAGCCAGAAAATGGCACTTTCAATTTTTCCATCCTACAAGATCTAAATAATTCTTGTCATAAAATAGGCAAATGGTCTGAGGTGCCTGACATCCAGGCACTCTTTTACACATCGGTCCCTCCCTAGTCTCTGTTCCCAATGCAACTTGTCCCAAATCTTCCTTCTTTCCCTCCCACCTGTCCCCTTAGTCCCAACCCCAAGTGTCGCTGAGTCTTTCTAATCTTCCTTTTCTACAGACCCATCTGACCTCTCCCCTCCTTGCCAGGTCGAGCTAGGTTCCAATTCTTCCTCAGCCTCCACTCCTCCACCCTACAATCCTTTTATCATCTCCCCTCCTCACACCCAGTCCGGCTTACAGTTTCGTTCAGTGACAAGCTCTCCCCAACCTGCCCAGCAATTTCCTCTTAAAAAGGTGGCTGGAGCTAAAGGCATAGTCAAGGTTAATGCTCCTTTTCCTTATCCCAAATCAGATAGCATTTAGGCTCTTTTTCATCAAATATAAAAACCCAGTCCAGTTCATGGCTTGTTTGGCAGCAACCCTGAGACGCTTTATAGCCCTAGACCCTAAAAGGTCAAAAGGCCGTCTTATTCTCAATATACATTTTATTACCCAATCTGCTCCCGACATTAAATAAACTCCAAAAATTAAATTCCGGTGCTCAGACCCCACAACAGGACTTAATTAACCTTGCCTTCAAGGTGTACAATAATAGAGTAGAGGCAGCCAAGTAGCAATGTATTTCTGAGTTGCAATTCCTTGCCTCCACTGTGAGACAAACCCCAGCCATATCTCCAGCACACAAGAACTCCAAACGCCTGAACTGCAGCTGCCAGGGATTCCTCCAGAACCTTCTCCCCCGGGAGCTTGCTACAAGTGCTGGAAATCTGGCCACTGGGCCAAGGAATGCCCGCAGCCCAGGATTCCTCCTAAGCCATGTCCCATCTGTGCGGGACCCCACTGAAAATCGGACTGTTCAACTCACCTGGCAGCCACTCCCAGAGCCCCTGGAACTCTGGCCTAAGGCTCTCTGACTCCTTCCCAGATCTTCTTGGCTTAGTGGCTGAAGACGGACGCTGCCCGATCACCTCGGAAGCCCCCTAGACTATCACGGATGCCGATCTTCTGGTAATTCTCACAGTGGAGAGCAAGTCTGTCCCCTTCTTAATCAATATGGAGGCTACCCACTCCACATTACCTTCTTTTCAAGGGCCTGTTTCCCTTGCCTCCGTAACTGTTGTGGGTATTGATGGCCAGGCTTCTAAACCTCTTAAAACTCCCCAACTCTGGTGCCAACTTAGACAATACTCTTTTAAGCACTCCTTTTTAGTTATCCCCAACCTGCCCAGTTCCCTTATTAGGCCGAGACACTTTAACTAAATTATCTGCTTCCCTGACTATTCCTGGGCTACAGCCACACCTCATTGCCACCTTTTCCCCCAGTTCAACGCCTCCTTCACATCCCCCCCACTTGTATCTCCCCACCTTAACCCACAAGTATAGGACACCACTACTCCCTCCTTAGCGACCGATCATGCACCCCTTACCATCCCATTAAAACCTAATCACCCTTACCCCCTCAATGCCAATATCCCATCCCACAGCATGCTTTAAAAGGATTAAAGTCTGTTATCACTTGCCTGTTACAGCATGGCCTTTTAAAGCCTATAAACTCCCCTTACAATTCCCCCATTTTACCTGTCCTAAAACCAGACAAGGCTTACAGGTTAGTTCAGGATCTGCGCCTTATCAACCAAATTGTTTTGCCTATCCACCCTGTGGTGCCAAACCCATATACTCTCCTATCCTCAATACTTCCCTCCACAACCCATTATTCTGTTCTGGATCTCAAACATGCTTTCTTTACTATTCCTTTGCACCCTTCATCCCAGCCTCTCTTTGCTTTCACTTGGACTGACCCTCACACCCATCAGGCTCAGCAAATTACCTGGGCTGTACTGCCGCAAGGCTTCACAGACAGCTCCCATTACTTCAGTCAAGCCCAAATTTCTTCCTCATCTGTTACCTGTCTCAGCATAATTATCATAAAAACACACGTGCTTTCCCTGCTGATCGTGTCTGGCTAATCTCCCAAACCCCAATCCCTTCTACAAAACAACAATTCCTTTCCTTCCTAGGCATGGTTAGTGCGGTCAGAATTCTTACACAAGAGCCGGGACAGCACCCTGTAGCCTTTCTGTCCAAACAACTATGACCTTACTGTTTTAGCCTAGCCCTCATGTCTGCATGCAGCTGCTGCCACTGCTTTAATACTTTTAGAGGCCCAAAAAATCACAAACTGTGTTAAACTCACTGTCTACAGTTCTCATAACTTCCAAGATCTATTTTCTTTCTCCCACCTGATGCATATACTTTCTGCTCCCCGGCTCCTTCAGGTGTACTCACTCTTTGTTGAATCTCCCACAATTACCATTGTTCCTGGCCCAGACTTCAATCCGGCCTCACACAGTATTCCAGATACCACACCTGACCCCTATGACTGTATCTCTCTGATCCACTTGACATTCACCCCATTTCCCCGTATTTCCTTCTTTCCTGTTCCTCACCCTGAACACACTTGGTTTATTGATGGCAGTTCCACCAGGCCTAATCGCCACACACCAGCAAAGGCAGGCTATGCTATAGTACAAGCCACTAGCCTGCCTCTTAGAACCTCTCATTTTCTTTCCATCGTGGAAATCTATCCTCAAGGAAGTAACTTCTTCCATCTGCTATTCTGCTACTCTTCAGGGATTATTCAGGCCCCCTCCCTTCCCTACACATCAAGCTCGAGGATTTGCCCCCGCCCAGGACTGGCAACTCTTAACTCCCTCTTAGAGTGGATAGATGATCTTTGCTGGCAGGGGACCCTCCAGTACTTTCACCCTGACGAAGTTCTATTCTTTACTTTTATACTCACTTTTATTCTCATTCCCATTCCTCTGCCACCCTCTACCTCTCCCCAGCTATCTCCACCACGCTATCAACCTTACTCATTCTCTCCTAGCCGTTTCTAATCCCTCCTTAGCAAACAACCACTGGCTTTGCATTTCCCTTTCTTCCAGGGCCTACACAGTTGTCCCCACCTTACATGCAGACTAGGCAACACCTCCTGTCTCCCTACACCTCCAGACTTCCTTTAACAGCCCTCACTTTTACCCTCCTGAAGAACTCATTTACTTTCTAGACAGGTCCAGCAAGACCTCCCCAGACATTTCACATCAGCAAGCTGCCACCCTCCTCCACACTTACTTGAAAAACCTTTCTCCTTATATCAACTCTACTCCCCCCATATTTAGACCTCTCACAACACAAACTACTATTCCTGTGGCCGCTCCTTTATGTATCTCTCAGCAAAGACCTACTGGAATTCCCTTAGGTAATCTTTCACCTTCTCGATGTTCCTTTACTCTTCATCTCCAAAGCCCTCTTCTTGTTTACTTATACCCAGCCCCGAAAATAACAGTGAAAGGTTGCTCGTAGATACTCAACGTTTTCTCACACACCATGTAAATCGAACCTCCCCCTCTACGCAGTTACTTCATCAATCCCCATTACAACCTCTGACGGCTGCCACCCTAGCTGGATACCTAGGAGTCTGGGTACAAGACACCCCTTTCAGCACTGCTTCTCTTTACTTTGCATCTCCAGTTTTGCCTCGCACAAGGTCTCTTCGTCTGTGGATCCTCTACCTACATGTGTCTACCTGCTAATTGGACAGGCACATGCACACTAGTCTTCCTTACCCCCAAAATTCAATTTGCAAATAGGACCGAAGAGCTCCCTGTTCCCCTCATGACACCGACACGACAAAAAAGAGTTATTCCACTAATTCCCTTGCTTGTCGGTTTAGGACTTTCTGCCTCTACTATTGCTCTCGGTACTGGAATAGCAGGCATTTCAACCTCTGTCACGACCTTCCGTAGCCTCTCTAATGACTTCTCTGCTAGCATCACAGACATATCACAAACTTTATCAGTCCTCCAGGCCCAAGTTGACTCTTTAGCTGCAGTTGTCCTCCAAAACCGCTGAGGCCTTGACTTACTCACTGCTGAAAAAGGAGGACTCTGTATATTCTTAAATGAAGAGTGTTGTTTTTACCTAAATCAATCTGGCCTGGTGTATGACAACATAAAAAACTCAAGGATAGAGCCCAAAAACTTGCCAACCAAGTAAGTAATTATGCTGAACCCCCTTGGACACTCTCTAGTTAGATGTCCTAGGTCCTCCCAATTCTTAGTCTTTTAATACCTGTTTTTCTCCTTCTCTTATTCCGTATAGTTTTTCAATTTATACAAAATCGTATCCAGGCCATCACCAATAATTCTACACTACAAATGTTTCTTCTAACAACCCCACAATATCACCCCTTACCACAAAATCTTCCTTCAGCTTAATCTCTCCCACTCTAGGTTCCCATGCCGCCCCTAATCCCGCTCGAAGCAGCCCTAAGAAACATCGCCCATTATCTCTCCATACCACCCCCCAAAATTTTTGCCGTCCCAACACTTTACCACTATTTCATTTTATTTTTCTTACTAATATAAGAAGACAGGAATGTCAGGCCTCTGAGCCCAAGGCTAAGCCATCATATCCCCTGTGACCTGCACGTATACATCCAGATGGCCGGTTCCTGCCTTAACTCATGACATTCCACCACAAAAGAAGTGAAAATGGCCTGTTCATGCCTTAACTGATGACATTATCGTGTGAAATTCCTTCTCCTGGCTCATCCTGGCTCAAAAGCTCCCCTACTGAGCACCCTGTGACCCCCACTCCTGCCACCAGCGAATAACCCCCCTTTGACTGTAATTTTCCTTTACTTACCCGAATCTTATAAAATGGCCCCACCCCATCTCCCTTTGCTGACTCTCTTTTTGGACTCAGCCCGCCTGCACCCAGGTGAAATAAACAGCCTTGTTGCTCACACAAAGCCTGTTTGGTGGTCTCTTCACACAGACGTGAGTGAAAATTTTCATCTCGACTGAAGGCTTTGGTTCAAATAAAATGAGTTCCCAATTGCAAGCCTAAAGGCAAAGGAAACAATGTTGTTCAGGCATGAATCACTGTGAAGGTCATTGTGTGTGACAGTTGTGTAGGGGGCTGGATGTGAACTACATACAATAGTCTTATCATTCAACAAACAAATGTGCTTAAAGAATCAATGCACTTAAACTCATTACTGCAATGTTTCCCTGTATAGAGAAGAATTCCTCTAGAAAATCTAGGCTTTGTGGAGATTCCTCAAGAATCTAGAACCAGAAATACCATTTGACCCAGCAATCCCATTACTGGCTATATACCCAAAGGATTATAAGTCATTCTACTATAAAGACACATGCACATGTATGTTTATTGCGGCACTATTCACAATAGCAAAGAGTTGGAACCAACCCAAATGCCCATCAATGATAGAATGGATAAAGAAAATGTGGCACATATACACCATGGAACACTATGCAGCCATAAAAAAGGATGAGTTCACGTCCTTTGCAGGGACTTGGATGAAGCTGGAAACCATCATTCTCAGCAAACTAACCCAAGAACAGAAAACCAAACACTGCATGTTCTCACTCACAGGTGGGAGCTGAACAATGAGAACACATGGACATAGGGAGGGGGACATCACACACCGGGGCCTATTGGGGGGTGGGAGGGCTAGGGGAGGGATAGCATTAGGAGAAATACCTAATGTAGATGACAGGTTGATGGGTACAGCAAACCACCATGGCACGTGTATACCTATGTAACAAAACTGCACGTTCCGTACATGTACCCCAGAACTTAAAGTATAATAAATAAATAAATAAATAAATAAATAAATAAATAAATACATAAATAGGTTAAAATGGAAAAAAATAAAATCTAGGCTTTTAAACTAGATTTCAAACTTCTAAAATTGGATCTACTTTTTAAAAAATGCCAATTTAAAAATGGCACAGATGTGTAGGTACATTCGTTCTTAGCCATGGATACGGACAAATCATTGGTTAAGCTTTCTGTAGTTGTTGAGAATACAGTTGATTATGAAGTTTCTCTTAAACTCTTTGTTTTTTTCCAAGTTTTCTGCAGTGAACATGTATTAATGTTATAATTGTAATTATATTTACATATAATTATATGTAATCCTATGACATATAATTCATACACAACTATATATAATTTTATATTCTCTCCAGAGCATTTCTTCTTAAAGCAAGAAGAAAATTCACTGCGTGGGAGGAAAAACCTAGTATTAAAACATGAAATTCATTTTAATACTAAGGGACCTCACTATTTGAAAAAAATTACTTGTAAATTTCTTAGCTGATCAATTAATTCTTTTGAAAAGCAAATTGGAAATTATGCCATGACTCCAGCTTTAATAAGTCAAGAATATTGTGAAATGAGTGTTTAGTATATTCTTTTTTTTGAGACAGGGTCTCACTCTGTCAAACAGGTTAGAGTGCAGTGGTGTGATCTCAGCTCACTGCAACCTCCATCTCCCAGGCTCAAGCAATTCTCCTGCCTCAGCATCCCCATTAGCTGGGACTACAGGTGTGTGCCACGATGCCTGGGCAATTTTTGTGTTTTTTTTGTAGAGATGGGTGGGTTTTGTCATGTTGCCCAGGCTGATCTCAAACTCCGGAACTCAGGTGATCTGCCCACCTCCGCCTCCCAAATTGCTGGGATTACCGGCATGCGCTACCATGCCCAGTCTCTATGTATATTCTTCACATTTTTTCTAAAATAGAAGTGCTGAAGGATTCCCATTAAAGATGGTGGATTGAGCACCTACATTTACCACTGCTTCTTCATAAAGCCCGTGAAAAGGGGAATGAAGTGTTAAGATATACGAAGGTGTAAGAACAAATCATGAGGCAGGGGATGATAACAACCTTTTTAGAGCTGAAAAACAGCAGAACCATCTTAAGTGGCAGCATATCCAAGGACAGATGCTTGCACTGAGGTGGAGAGTGCTGAGAAGTAGCCCGGTTGGCACTGCAAAGCCGCCCATTATTTGTGCAGTTGATGGCAAGAGTTTCCACTGGATATGTGTGTTTATGTGAAGCTAAAAACAGAAGAACTCACTGGAAGCTCGTGAAGAACATTTATATCCCCAGATCCCTACCCCAGGCATCTGTCCTCCCCTCACTCTGGCAGAAGAGGAACGATGTATTCTCTGGGAAGGACACAGAGACTCTCAGTTGGAGGACTCTAGGCATAGGACGGCAGGGGCTCTGTACTGAAAACAGGGATCTTCAGTCAACATTTACACACTGAATCTTGAACCTCGCAGTCCTCTTCCTTCTTAGCTGTGAGAACAGTGACAGCCAGGTGTCTACCCTCCAGGCAACAGGGCAGAAAATTCTTCTCTGGAGCTTTCAATCAGCCCAAGACAAAAATCTCAGTGATGCAACATCAGGGGCTTCCCGATGAAACAACTCAGCCACTGAAGCCCACGGGTGACAGGCCCCATTTGTGTGCACAGAACTTTCAGTCATATTTGTAGTGCCTCAATCTTAAATGTGGGTGTCAGCTAAAGGGGAACCAGGCATTTGAGGACATGTCTCAAACACAGGAGAAGAAAAAAGAAAAACAAACGAAAATACACATATACACACACACACACACACACCAACCAACCAACCAAAGAAAGCTACTTGAAGGAAAAAGAGGCTGAGTAGGAAAAGAAACACTTGGGAGAAAACCGTCATTAATACCTTCTGAGAGATAACATATTGCTTTCATGAAATGAGAACAGATGATTTAAAAAAAGGAACATTCAAAGAACAAAAAATAGAGCTCTTGGAAATTCAGAACATAAAAAAAGAAGTGAAAAACTCAATGAGAGTTTATGAAATGTAAATTTGAGAACATTGTTCAGAGAATAGGGGAAACAACAGCCAAAGAAATTGAACAAATGAAAGAAAATATAAGAAAATAACAGATCAGTCCATGGGGTCTGATAGCTGAATAACAAATTCTGGGAAGAGAGAACAGGAAATGAAAGAAGAAATTGTCCCCCAAAATCTATTCCTAGAGTTCAAGAACGGCTTTCCAGATTAAAAGGCCCCATGTGTGTTCCAACAGAAAGAGTCAAAATAGACCCACATCAAATAATATTCATGAGATTTCAGAAAACAAAGAAGAATAAGAACCTAAAATCTTCCAGAGAGAAAAACACCGAGTTCAAATAAAGAATTGAGAATGAAAATGGCATTGAATTTCTTGAGAGCAATACTATTGACAATAGACAAATTCCTTCAAACTTGTGAAGGGAAATAATTTCTAAATGAGAATTCTGTATTCAGTCTGATTTCAATTAAGCATGAGGGAGAATAAAGACATTTTCAGACTTGCAATGTTTCAGAAAATGTGATTCCCGTTCATTCTTTCTCAGGAAGCTACAGAAGGATGGCTCCATTTTTAAAAAAGGGACTAGATCAACAAAGAGAAAGTCATGGAAGCCGGGTAGGAGGGGGATCTCATGCCATCCGGAGGCCCAGGTTATCTATGATGATGGAGAAGAGAGATGCAAGGATGGTGATACGGCTTGGCTCTGTGTCCCCCCCGCAAATCTCACCTTGAATTGTAATCCCATGTGTCAGGGGAGGGTCCTGGTGGGAGATGATTGGATCATGGGGGCGGATTTCTCCCTTGCTGTTCTCATGATAGTGTGAGTGGGTTCTCAAGAGATCTGATGGTTTAAAAGTATGTGGCAGATCCCAGCTCACTCGCTTTCTCCTGCTTTGCAGAGGTAAGACATGCTTACTTCCCCTTCACCTTCTGCTGTGATTATAAGTTTCCTGAGGCGTCTTAGCCAGACTTCCTGTTAACCCTGCAGAACTGCGAGTCAATTAAACCTCTTTTCTTCATAAATTACCCAGTCTCATGTAGTTCTTTATAGCAGAAGGAAGACAGACTAATACAGATGCCCAAGGCCTATCCAGCCAGAATGCTCTGGGGTAGAAGTTTCCAAGAAAATGAAATGGTGAGTTCCTCTTATATTGGCTGCAATATGTTGAGGGAAGATTTTAAAATTGAGAGAGAGCTTGAGTTTCAATTCATAATTAGTTCACAAAAAATTAAGCAAATGAAGAAAACAATATAATGATTAAGGAAAACAAAATAGTGTGTAGGAAAGGAAACTTTTTTTTTTTTTTTTTTTTTTTTTTTTTTGAGACAGGGCCTTGGTCTTTCACCCAGGCTGGAGTGCAGTGTTGCTATCATAGCTCGCTGCAGTCTCCAATTCCTGGGCTCAAGTGATCCTCCCACTTCAGCCTCCCAAGTAGCTGGGACTACAGGTGTGCACCATAATACCAAGTTAATGTCTTTTTTTTTTTTTTTTGTAGAGACAGGATCTCACACTATGTTGCCCAGGTTGATCTTGAACTCCTGGCCTCAAGCAATCCCTCACCTGTGCCTCCCAAAGCACTGGGATTATAGGAATGAACCACCATGCCTGGCTGGAAACACAGCTCTATTATATGGTTCAGTTATGAAAAGCATGATGATGTAAACACTGCATACGGATCTATCCAAAGCCAGTAAACCATCCTATTGGAAGGGTGAAGGTAAAGGAAAAACATGGAGGGGAGGAGGCCATGGAGGAGAGTTGTTGGCTGTGAAAGAGCCTAATCCTCATCTTCCATAGTCAGGAGTCACCTAACAGTGACTGACTAAAAACAGAAACTCAAGGAGTAGCCTAGGAGACGGTAAAGGACAGCCCACTGTGCAGCCACCTGTGTTTGTAGATAAAGTTTTTTCAGCACCCAGCTACACCCACTCATTTACATATTGCCCACAGCTGCTTTTGTGCTACAACAGCAGAGGTGAGTAACTGCAACAGAGACTCTATGGCTCTCAAAGCCTAAAATACTCATTGTTTTGCTCTTTACAGGAAAAGTCTGCTGACCCCTCAAGTAGCAGGTGAATATATTTAGAGAATTAAAGACAAATGCCAAAGGAAAAAAAAATCTTGAAAATTGGATGGTTGTTTATCCTAATAAGCCATATAGAACTATTTGACACTTTAAACAAGATGATTTTATTACTTTGATAAAAATAAAAGCTAAGTAAAAAAGAAGTGTTAATATGTATTATCAGAGGCAGCAGACATTTTTTTCCAGGACGATAACAAAGTATAAAAACAAAGCACCTCCCTTCTTTGATGTGTTCCTTTTTTCGATGTTTGGACAATTTCTTTGCTTACAATCTAATTTCCTGTTTTGAACCTATCAAGTTTCCTCTCTTTTGGCTTTTTTATTTTTAGTTTTGGTTAAAAACCAAGGCAGGAAGCAAGAAGTCAAGCATAAGGTTTTAAATGACTTCTCTTCTACCCTCTGAATGTATCTAGAGGGAGGGAGGTTGCAGATTTGTAGATTCCCAGGCAATCCACAACTTCAAAGAGTTCGCTAAACAGATTTTATTCACTTAACCAAAAGTAATCTCAAATTTTCTTCAAACTTCAACTTATTTATCTTAAAAGGATGCAGTGGAGACTCACATTCCACCCAGTGACAACTTTCCTTCCTAATGTAATCTTGAAATGGAAAAGCATCCATAATTAATCTGGAAGTGGGCTGTCTTAGCCATTAAACACGTTTCCAATTTAGACTTGGGCTTTGTCCCAGCAATCTGAAAGGTCATTTTCTATCCACGGCTTCAAGATAATTCCCAATTAGGACAATAAGGACAATTTCCAGAAAATGAGCTTTTCTTAATACGTGCAATGTCTGATAATTTATTGATATTATCATCCAGACGTGATGGTAAATATTTCTATTCTGGGGTCTGGGATGCGAAAAAGAAGGAGCCATTCTCACTATTGCATTCTCAGCTTAGTATGTATGACCTTATTCAGCAGAAATTTCAGCTGCAACACGGCCAAGCTTATAGGCCCCGAGGGACTTATGTACTAGCAGAGCTTGAAGCTGAGTCAGCTGGCCAGGGCCCAAGCTCCTAAGAGAGGATGCGCCCTTCCAGCTCTCATGGCGTGTTGGCTGTCCACCTACCCGTCTCTGCCTGGCTATGTCACTTCAGTATGTTCAGCAGGTGCTTACTGAGCACCTTCTATGTGCTTAGCTCTGCATGACCCCTGTGAACAAAACCAATCTACCTTGCATTCTCTACCTGGAAGATGAACCACTTCCATTTATGAGCTCAAGGAAATCCTTCGTCTTCAGGATCAAGTTAAATTTCAGGAGTGGGAATATTTGTTCTATTAGTATTTTCAGGATGTATGGGACCCAGTTACCATGGTGTATTAGTCCATTTTCACACTGCTATAAAGAAATACCCAAGGCTCATGCCTGTAATCCAAGTGCTTTGGGAGGCCAAGGTGGGCAGATCTCCTGAGAGATCAGGATCAACTATGGCCAACATGTGAAACTCTGCCTCTACTAAAAATACAAAAATTAGCCAGACACAGTAGTAGGCGCCTGTAATCCAAGCTACTCAGGAAGCTGAGGCAGGAGAATTGCTTGAACCTGGGAGGCAGAGGTTGCAGTGAGCCGAGATCCTGCCACTGCACTCCAGCCTGGGTGACAGAGAGAGACTCAATCTCAAAAAAAAAAAAAAAAAAAAAAAGAATAATCGAGACTGAGTAATTTATAAAGGAAAGAGGTTTAATTGATTCACAGTTCCACATGGCTGGGGAGGTCTCATGAAACTTACAATCATGGGGAAGGGGAAGTAGGCAGGCGAGAGAAGCGAAAGCTAAGGGAGAAGAGCCCCTTATAAAACCATCAGATCTTGTGAGAACTCACTCACTATCCTGAGAACAGCGCGGGGCAAACCACCCTCATGATCCAACCATCTCCCACCAGGTCCCCCCTTGACACATGGGGATTACAGTTCGAGATGAGATTTGGGTGGGGACACAGAGTCAAACCACATCACATGGCATAGGGGATATTGGGGACACAGGAGGAATGGGTGCAGCTTTGGGAGGCTGAAAAAGGGCAGGGCAAGGGAGAAGGAGGCACAGATACTTCAGTGTGAGCTTTAATATTCATGTGGTTCTAGGGTTCATGCATTAGACTTTTCATTTCATGTTCCTCTCCCCTAACCAAGTTCAGCCCTTCTGGGTCTTAATGTACATCTAAACTTTTGCAACATTACCCTGGCTGGTCTCATTGCCAGTAGAAGCTCAGTTCTTTAACTCATTATATACCCTACTGCTAGGTAGATTTTCTTACACATCCTTTGTACATTCCTCAGCCTGCTAGATGAGCCACCACCACTAAGAAAGTGGCCTTCACAAGGGCAGGTTCGGGGCCTGTCACTGCTGGAGTCCAGCATCCAGCAGTGACCTGGCAGCAGGAATCTTATGTGTCTGTTGCCTGGAAGGCAAAGAGAATCATGGAGTTTTCCAGCAGGAAGAGCAAGATCAGCTAGGCTGTGCTTCCGTCTTGTAAAGGAGCTAGCCTTGGTGTCATACAGCAGGAACTGAGGTCCCAGTGATTATTCAAGGCTATAGGGCCAGTTTGTGGATAGGCCAGGTGTCTCGTCCATCCACTCTCTTCCATTCAGAGTCCCTCAAAGTCACCCATGGGTCCTCCTCAATGCTTCACTTTGACGCAGAAGCCTTCTACCACCAACAGGCTCATCTTCTTGCTGTTCTACGGACCCCCTGGTGTGGTGAAGCCTGCTCACCTTTGTTAAGGCCATCCCACTGGCACAGATCCACATCCGAGCTACATACTTCTTGAAGTGGGCATGGTCCAGTTCTATCTCCACAAAGCTGTCCTCCAGATTTCTGCTCTATCCCTTCTCAAGGGAATACATATTCCTTTTTAAAAAATCACTAATTGGGTACTTAAAACATTAACTAGAAGTATTTTACATTTTATTACTGCATTTCATCTCTCCAACTTGCTGCTAAACCCCATGAGGACAGAGGGGATGTTTAGACACACAGACTTGCAGAGTTGAATGCATCCTTGGAGTCCATCTGTTTCTACACATTTATTTCACAGATAATGTCACTGAGGCACAGAGGAAGGAAATGGCTTGCCCATAGTCTTTTTTTTTTTTATGCAGTAAAATGTACCTAACATAAAATGGACATTTTAACCTATATATATATATATATTTTTTTTTTTTTTTAGACGGAGTCTCGCCTTGTCACCCAGGCTGAAGTGAAGTGGCATGATCTTGGCTAACTACAACCTCCGCATCCCGGGTTCCAGTGATTCTCCTGCCTCAGCCTCCTGAGTAGCTGGGATTACAGGCGCATGCCACCATGCCCAGCCAATTTTTGTATTTTTAGTACAGACGCGGTTTCACCATGTTAGTCAGGCTGGTCTCAAACTCCTGACCTCGTGATCCACCCACCTCGGCCTCCCAAAGTGCTGGGATTACAGGTGTGAGCCACCATGCCTGGCCCATTTTAACCTACTTTTAAATGTACAAGTCAGTGGCATTAAGTGTATTCACATTGTTGTGCACCATCACCACCACCCATCTCTGGAAATTCTTTGTCTTGCAAAATTGAAACTCTATACCCATTAAACAACAACTCCCCATTGTCCCTCCTCCCAGCCCCTGGCAGTCACCATCTGACTTTCTGTGTCTATGATTTCAACTCCTCTAAGTATCTCATAGAAATGGAATCATACAGTATTTGTCCTTTTGTAACTGGCTTATTTCCCTTAACACAATGTTAAGGTTCACCCATGTTGTACGTATAGACCACATTTTGTTTATCTGTCCATCTATGGACACTTGGTTCTTTCCACCTTTTTGCTATTGTGAATAATGCTGCTATGAACATTGGTGTACAAATAGCCTAGGGTCTTTTAGTGACTTTTTTTTTTTTTTTTCCTGCTTAGCCTAGTGTTCCTCACAGGGTGGAAACTCAGTGAAAAAAAAAAAATTGTTATGATTATAATCTTAGCTAGCCCCTTAATCTTATTGAGAAAAGAAGATTTAAGCCATGAAACAAAAGACTATCCTTTCTGTAATATAGTTCATATGCTGATGCTCTCCAAATGCAATCAACATTTAATCATAACATATAACGAGTATGAAAGTATGAATTTTCTTTTTACACATGTATTTATCTTCTCACTTGTATTTCTACATATATTCCAGAGAGGAGGAAATATGATTCAGGACTTTGTTTCTCTCTAACATAAGGTTGTCCCTTAAGAATCCTTGGTAAAGGGCCTATCATGAAACCATAAGGCTTTTAAGAATCCAATGTCAAGGATTTTCTTTGACAAAATCTCCTTTAGCATCTCTCCTGCTGGGTTAGAGAAAGAGAACAATTCAGCAAAAACACTAGGAGCAGCTTTCCCTTTTCCATTTCCATACGCCCTTTCTCTGTAGATGTGTGTCCTTGAAAATCCGTTATCCCTGTTCAACTCTCTCAAGGTGAATTCAAGGACAGAGGCCTCTTACTATGAGCATTAACTTTAGTGGACAGTTTTTTACCTCCTTACACAAGCCTATATTCAGCATCAAATCAATTCCTTTGGCAGTTATTATTATTTAGTGTTAGCTCTCCAAAGTGACTTTAAATCTCTTTTCTTAGTTAAGAGAAATGGAAAAATCTTTCTCTGCCAGTTGCTCACAGTGATTTCTGTATTATCAGGAGCTTATTAAGCTAAAAAGCCTACTGGGCAAAGACTAATCATCATTTTATGCATTTCTAGAGCACATTACACTTTTCAAATTGTACCTTACATCCAATATTTCTTTTGGTCTGTGAAACAATTAGGTTGGGAAAATAAGGCTGAGTTAATTATTAGGCCAGTGGAATGAGGCGGAGCTGAGGCCCGAGGGAAGCAAAGTGTGGAGGGTCACACAGCAGCGATCACTACAGTGGCTAGTCAGAAAAAAATCGTTGACTGTTATCTGTGTGCCCTTGGAAACAACCTAGAAACACGTGGTCATTGGAGGTGCATCCTGTCCTGTGCAGAATCGCGCCTGCCTGGCCTGAGCTGGCTCTGCCCAGCCTTCCTGGCTCATCAGAACTTTCTCTGGTCCAGGCGAAATGCCCTCCTCTAGTTTCTGATGCAACACACCTTTTCCCAGCTCTGTTTCCTTTTCTTTTCTTCACCTGGCTACTTCTACTCATTCTTTAAAAAATATTTTTAAAAAGTTGGGGCCGGGTGTGGTGGCTCACATCTGTAATACCAGCATTTTGGGAGGCTGAGGAGGGCACATCACAAGGTCGGGAGATTGAGACCATTCTGGCTAACACGGTGAAGCCCTGTCTCTACTAAAAATACAAAACATTAGCCAGGCGTGGTCGTGGGCGCCTGTAGTCCCAGCTACTCAGGAGGCTGAGGTGGGAGAAAGGCGTGAACCTGGGAGGCAGAGATTGTGGTGAGCTGAGATCGTGCCACTGCACTCCAGCCTAGGCGACAGAGCAAGACTCCATCTCAAAAAAAAAGAAAAAAAAAAAAAGTTGGCCAGGTGCCATGACTTACTTTAGGAGACCACAGTGGGTGGATCACTTGAGCCCAGGAGTTCGAGACCAGCCATAGACAACTTAGTGAGACCCCATCTTTACAAAAAATACAAAAATTAGCAAGGTGTAGTGGTGTGTGCCTGTAGTCCCAGTTACTTGGGAGGCTGAGGTGGGAGGATCACCTGAGCTGAGGAGGTTGAGGCTTC
The DNA here is from genome assembly GCF_000001405.40 of Homo sapiens. Lineage (NCBI taxonomy): Eukaryota > Metazoa > Chordata > Mammalia > Primates > Hominidae > Homo > Homo sapiens. The sequence goes on along the minus strand of NT_187564.1, from coordinate 83,902 downwards.
AGGCTGCAGTAAGCCATGATTGTACCACTCGACTCCAGCCTGGGTGACAGAGTGAGACCCTGTCTAAAAAATATATATATATGTATATATGTCTGTGTGTGATGGTTAATATTCAGTGTCAACTTGATTGTATTGTTCCAATCCTTGGAACTTGGTTGGATGTAAAGTATTGTTCCTGGGTGTGTCTGTGAGGGTGTTGCCAAAGGAAATTAGCATTTGAGTCAGTGGGCTGGGAGAGGCAGACCCACCCTCAATCTGGGTGGGCACCATCTAATCAGCTGCCAGTGTGGCTAGAATAAAGCAGGGAGGAGAAGATGGAAAAAATTAGAAAGATAGTTCTTGAAGGATGGTCAGGAATCATTACCATCTTCTATGCTCTGCCCTCCCGTTGCCCCAGCCTAGAAGCATTTTCAACCCTTTAGGCTGACTTAAAAACGTATCTCCAAATGATGTGGTGACATTGCAATTTCATGACATGTTTTTAGGCATTATCTATTCACTTACCAATACGGATGATGATGAGTTAGCTTCTACTCTCCTCCCCACCATCCACTAGCACCATCCAACTACCCTTCTAAAATAGGCAGGTTGGACTTGGAGTTAGATCACAATTTGGTTTTTATAGGATTAAGGTCACATATGATTAAGACCACGTAAATGCCATTTAGGGCTAAGTCATTATTGTTTCCTACAGTTACTTTTCTTTTCCTGTAGTTTTTCTTTTTGCTGAGTTTTATTTACTTTAAATTTGTTTCATTTTCCTTTGGTGATCGTGTTTTTGTGTCCTCCTTCAATCCTTAATTGAGAATGAGAAAGAAAAGCAGCTCTTGAGCGTGGGGAGCTGTTTGGGAACTCACAGCCAGGCCATGTGTGCTTCTGTTTGGGGTGATCCATTTCACAGAACTCAACATCAGACAAGGTCATTCCGTGACCTTCATGGGGAAAGGCAAAGAAGAGGTCACTCCATGAGACATGTCTCAGCACTGAAAAAAGAAAACTGGCCAGAACACGAAAATGATCCAACATACCCCTTCTCAGCCTAATACACATCATTTCTACTTCTTTACCAACTACAGCTGTTTTTCTCTACTGTCTTCAAGATAAAAAAAAATTAAGATATTCAATCACAGAATTACCTGCTTCCTGACAGTATCCAATCTAGAACAAACCCCTACTTTTTTTAACTCTCCCCAAATCACCTACTGAAAACCGAATAGCACTTTCTAGCACCCTCTTTCCAGCATCCTCTTACTGAGATGCCTCTATGGTTCTCCATAATGAGCAATCTCCCATGATGCAATGAGTGAAGAATCCCACATTTGTTCTACTACAGGTGGGCTCCTAGTGGTCAGTGGCTGTAATTAATCTCTGCATTTGAAGATCCATCAATATTCATCTGTGAGCCCTACAGTCTTGGATGGGAACCCTCCACTCACCAATTTTAGTGTGCTTATTTGAGACCCTTTGTGTCTCTAGCTGTCTGATGTAACCACACTGCCCGTGCTAGGAGAAGTTCATGCTGAACTGAGCTTCCATATTCTGCTGAGGTCCTTCCACTTTAGGTGTTTTTCCTTCCTTCCTTCCTTCCTTCCTTCCTTCCTTCCTTCCTTTTCTCTATCTCCCTCTCTTTTTTTTTCTTCCCCTAGGAATAAGGTTACCAGTGACTTTTTGGTTATCTGATCTGATTTTTATTGTTCTTTGGTGATACTGTTTACCAGTCTACAGATATATGTTCCTATGGACTGTCTGCTTGTACAGTGTCTTGAGTGTTCTTTATCTCTAAAACAAAAGGTCTCTAGGGAGACAATGAGCATAAGCCAGGTAAGTCAGTTCTTGAGCTGGCTCAGGGGCCTAGGAGTTCAGAAGTTCTCCTACAATCAACATTCTTTGAATAAACTTTGACTTGGGTCATGATTTCGAACCCTTAGAAGAACTTTTTCGTCGGTCTTGTTCTTTTCCTGAGAGCTGCTTTGTTTAGATTAGGCTTCTTGAAATCAGAAGGGATTGTCTGACCCTGGAATGGGCTTTGGCCAAGTCCTGACGAAAGTAGGCTGCACGGGCACCATCGTGTGGGAGGATCTATTGCAGTGCTCATAGTGTCTGATCCATCCTAAAACTGGGCATTTTCTATGAAACAAATACCTGCTTTCTCACATCACCTTAACTGACATGCTTGTGTCTTTAACTGGCAGAATTTCACGGGATAATTTTTTTTTTTTTTTTTTTTTTTGAGACAGAGTCTTGCTCTGTTTCCCAGGCTGAAGTGCAGCAGCGTGATCTTGGCTCACTGCGAACTCCACCCCCGGGTGCAAGCAATTCTCATGCCTCAGCCTCCCGAGTAGCTGGGACTACAGGCGTATGCCACTATGCCTGGATAATTTTTTGTATTTTAGTAGAGATGGTGGGCGGGGGGGGTCTCACTGTGTTGCCCAGGCTGGTCTCAAACTCCTGATCTCAGGCAATCTGCCCACCTCAGTGCTAGGATTACAGATGTGAGCTACCATGCCTAGCCAATTTCACAGGATAATTTTGAACTGCAGTGGCTATTTTGGGGACCTTTTTGACATGAACAAGATTGTTCATTTGAGTGGTGCCTGAGAACAAAAATTGGAGAAAGCTTCATGAAGAGATACCTGTCTTGCAATCTAAAAAGAGAGAGTTTTTGGCTCATTGTAAATGCTGTTTTCTACATTTCTGTTCTTTGAGGATTAATAAAGTCTGGCTTTTAAACATGTTACTTGATAAGAATTTCAAGGCCCAAATAATTGTTTATACCAGCTGTAAGAGTTATCTTTTGCATGTATATATGTCACAGTGGGTTTTCCTGAATCTAAACATTTAGTGCCTCTTCTTGCAGAGGGAAGACCCTTGCTTTTTACAGCGATAATGTCTTAAGTGTCTGAAGGTGGGTCCCTATCACTGCTTTTTTTTCTATTCCTTTCCTCCTCTTTTATCCTCTTTTGGGAAGCTTTAAAAATTAATTGAGGCCGGGCGCGTTGGCTCATGTCTGGAATCCCAGCACTTTGGGAGGCCGAGGCGGATGGATCACGAGGTCAGGAGATGGAGACCATCCTGGCTAACACGGTGAAACCCTGTCTCTACTAAAAATACAAAAAATTAGCCAGGCGCGGTGGCGGGCACCGGTAGTCCCAGCTACTCGGGAGGCTGAGGCAGGAGAATGGGGTGAACCCGGGAGGCGGAGCTTGCAGTGAGCCGAGACTGCGCCACAGCACTCCCGCCTGGGCGACAGAGCGAGACTCCGTCTCAAAAAAAAAAAAAATTGATTAAAATATTCACTCTATCATTATGAGTGCACATTAGGAATATCTGTACCATATTAGTAGTCAAAAATGTCTAAAAGGAAAAATATTAAGCTGTGCTTCTTTTGTAGCCCTTGTTACTATAGTTACAAGATAAGAAGAAAACCTTAGTTCAAGATAGAAGAAGAGCCTTGAGCACGACTTAGGGTCTTTACAATTTCATTTATCATATAAAAATAATATCAGAATAATACTTTGGTTTGTACGAGACCAATGATAAATTTCTTATCATTTAAGTTCCTAAATTTCCTACATTGTTTTTATAAGTGGATCATCACAAATTTTATAACTTGTTTAAAATGTATACACATACATACATATAATTATAGTCAATTAAATGAAAAGGTAATGGATTTTTAAAAGAATTAAGTTTTGTAAAATTTTTAAGTGCTGGGTGTCAGGATTCATTATGTTTGCAAAAATTGTGATTTCTCGATCCTTAACTAACTTTAAGACCTTAGACAAATGGTGAAGTTAATTAGTTAATAATCTTTGAAACCTAGACAATTTCAAGAGTGAAACAGATGCAAAATAAATGCTGGTTGGTAACACAATTTTAACTTACCCTGAATTCTTAGAATGGCAATAGATTAATAAAATATGCAAATACTTTTGGATGATATAATATATATATGTTTATTTTTGCCACCTCAAGTATGTTAAAATGGTATAAAATTAGTGTTCGTAAGGAAAAGAGATTCATAAAAGTTTTTTGTTTTTTGTCTTCTAGTGTTCTCTTATGTCTGGACAAGAGAAGTTAGCTGCTTTAATGAAATACAGTAATATACAAAGTTGATCATACTAGGTACAATAATTTTAGTGATCAATACACAAATAGACAAGAAAGTGGACTGATTTTTTGATTATTTTAAAAGTTATTATAGTTAATCACAATGGCAAAGTGTGTCTTTAAGTAACACAAAGCGTTGCTCCTTCACCCTAAAGAGGGAAGGATTATAGGTTTGCACAGAATTCTCCAATTTTTGATTAATTCAAAATTGTTATAGAGCTCTTTTGTTTTCCAAAACTGATAACTAGAAAGTGAGTTTATTTCTTAAGTTAGCCGTACATAAAACTAACAATGCTTAGTTATTATTTCGAGGTTAATTATATGTAAGCTTAGTAATGTTTAATTACATAGATGCTTAGAGAGTATATTCTGAATGAATGAATAAAGGACAATACAATAACATTTCTGTGACTTACAGACAATTTGATGCCTTTCTTGCAGAGATGGGTGCCAGCGTGCCTTCTGAGAATGGAGAGGTTATAATATAATATTGGCCACAGATGAGTAGCCTGTTCAGGGCTCGAGGCATGGCATACACATAGAATAGGAAACACCGCCTGCTTTTTCCTTCCATCTGTGAACCAAAGGGTTTAGATTCTTTTTTTTTTTTTTTTTTTTTTTTTTTTGAGATGGAGCCTCGCTCTGCTGCCCAGGCTGGAATGCAGTGGTGCAATGCAATCTCGGCTTATTGCAGCCTCTGCCTCCCGGGTTCAAGCGGTTCTCCTGCCTCAGCCTCCCGAGTAGCTGCGATTATAGTAATGCGCCACCATGACTGGCTAATTTCCATATTTTTAGTAGAAATGAGGTTTCACCATGTTGGCTAGGCTTGTCTTGAACTCCTGACCTCAAGTGATGTGCCTGCCTCGACCTCCCAAAGTGCTGGGATTACAGATGTGAGCCACTGTGCCCGGGGGTTTTGGATTCTAAAGCTGAAACTTGAAAGCATAGGGAATGTTGACACAACCTTCAATCCTGTCCAAGACATGACTTCTCCTCTTTTACCAAAATCTAGGTGTTTTAATAATGTGTCAGGGATAAGAAGATGAAAAATGTTAGATGGAAATCCTCATCCATCTTGCTAGTAACACTTTGTACTTTTGGATGAATCACTATACTTTAATTTTGGGGGATTATATCCCAAAGGTTAATACAACATTTCTGAGACTGGCTACAGACCAATTCCTAACCCATTTCCTTGTTTGTCCTCAATTTGTTGAATAGCTTTGACTATTGACTTACCGTGCCCAATTCTTTACATCTATTACCATTAATCCGAAAACAAGCCTGTAAAACTGAGAGACATATCCATATACCAGAAGTCATCTTACTAGTGAGGCAGTTGATTTGCAAGTCAAACCAAGTCATATCTAACTTTAATACTGCAGATTTTTTGGTTGCTATTTCATGCTACCTTCAGTGTCTCACACACAAAAAATACCATGCTTGTGTTTGTGTGAGTGTATGCGTGAATGTCCAGGAATGCATGTATTGAGGTGGTGGTGAAGAGTTACAAAGAAAAAGAAAGCATTAGAACAATTTAATTCAAATTCATTTAGCAGATTTTGGTCATTTATTTTATTTTATTTTATTTATTTTTTGTCAATCACGATGTCTATACAACTGCGCTGTGCTCCCTCAAAAAATCTCTACTCACACCATAATTTAACACTGGGAAAAATTTTACTCATATGCAAATAAAGAAGAAAAATTTGCCGGTGTAGATGGCTCAGGCAATTATAGCCATCTGCTACTTGTCAGGCCAACATGTTTCATCTGCTGCATGGTTCAGATCAACTAAGGAGGGCATCCCAGTGTAGGGCAGAGGAAGTTGCTGAGACCAGATGTTGGGGTGGAGGGGATGGATGGGAAGCAGCTAGATTGTGTTCTCTGGTCCTCATTCTAGTGTTTGGGCTGCAAGTGGTGGCCAGGGTCCCTGCAGCATCCTTGGGTTCACGAGCCATCTCTCCTTTAGGTGAGACCGAATCTCCCCAACCTCCCCAGTGAAGAGTCTCATGAAAGGTAGAGTAATACCAGTGGCTAACCTGAGCTTGCTAACTACTGTCTTTTCCCTTCCCCAGGCTTAAGATACTCAGCCTCTTTTTCTCTTAGGAAACAGTTGTTTTTGTCCCCTAAGCTCTGCTGGTGGCTTCAGCATGCTACACACTGTAACTCTAGCATGCTTTGTTTTCATCACTACAAACATTTTTAATCAGAGGCACGTGTTTTCATCAGTTAAAACCCATCAGCTTTAACCTCTTTGGGATTTCACATGAAATGTAGAACTTGCAGAAATTGGTATTTTCTACATTACGTCCATAATTAATCTGAATATCTGAACTGGCTTAAAAATGAAAACTCTATTAGTTTTATCCTAATCCACAGCGTTCAATAAGCTTCACTTTACCTGAATGGCTTAATGTGGTACTCTTCCCTTTGTCCTCCTGGGCAAGAAGAGAGAAAAATCTTCCTTCTCAACTCTCTTATACATAGAATTTGGAAAACTTCCTTTGTGAAAACCTGTCTTTTACAAAAAACAGAACAAAACAAAACAAAACAAAAAAACCTTTGCTTTTGGGGTTTCCTGGTTCTAGCTAGTGCTGATCTGGGACATGTTTTTTTTCTTTACTCCTAGGGCTAAAATATGAAATGTTAACATTCCTGCTGCTGTGTTTGCCTCACCACCCAGCACCACTCCATGGAAACCAACAGAATGAAATGAAATTAATCATCGCTTCTTCTGAGATGTCAAAGGCTGGATTTTGGTGCCCTTTTCCTGGCCCTTAAGATTTTATATCTAAAGTAAGAAGTTATTTACACACTTCTTTTAAACATTTTTTTTCAAAAATTGACAAGTAGAAATTTCATATATTTGTGGTATACAACATGACGTTTTGGAATCTGTATACCTTGTGAAATGGCTAAATGAAACTATTTAACATACGCATTACCTCCCATGCTGTGAGGGTTAATACTAACTGTCAACTTGATTGGACTGAAGGATGCAAAGTATTGGTCCTGGGTGTATCTGTGAGGGTGTTGCCAAAGGAGATTACCATTTGAGTCAGTGGGCTGGGAAAGGCAGACCTACCCTTAATCTGGGTGGGCACCATCTAATCAGCTGCCAGCACGGCTAGAATACAAGCAGGCAGAAAAATGTGAAGAGGGAGACTTGGCCTAGCCTCCCAGCCTACATCTTTCTCTTGTGCTGGATGCTTCCTGCCCTGGAACATTGGACTCCAAGTTCTTCAGTTTTGGAACTCGGACTGTCTCTCCTTGCTCTTCAGCCTGCAGATGGTCTATTGTGGGACCTTGTGATCGTGTGAGTTATTACTTAATAATAAATTCCATATTTTATATATATATATATTATATATATATTCCATTAGTTCTGTCCCTCTAGAGAACCCTGACTAAAACACATGCTGATCACTTACATACTTCTTTTATTACTGCGAACTCTCATATACTAATTTACCATGTGATTGAAGTCAGTACGGCCTCTGAATATCTAGATTCTTGCACATCGTAGAGATCTCTAAAAACTGGAAAGTCTCAAATCCTCTTCTCTGTAGGACTCAGCACCATCAGATGGTGAAGATCTACATTCATAGAAGTATAAATTCTGACTTGCGCCGGTCAATTTTGTGAAAAGAAGCTTAAAATGGTGCCAAAGCAACACCAAAACCATCCTTTCACAAAACCCATTTCAAGTAATAATTCTCCTTCATGCAGCCACAAAAATAATATCCTCATGGGTATAAATCTTAGAAGGCTGCTGGAAAAAGCTCTCTGTACTTAACGATTGATGGTCCTCAGGGACAGGAATGTGCCCCATGCTGACACATTTATCACCTGTGTTTAGAGCCAGAATAGCACCAGGGAAGGGCTTTGTAAAGAGGTGAGCCTGAGTGCCAGGGTGAGTGATGGATTTGACATAAAAGGCTGAAATGGGAGGTCTAATTACGACAGGGAATGAACAACTACCTTAATGAATCTGCCGCAGAAATTTAGTGTTGTAGGCACCAGCCACATGAAGATAGAAAGTGATAGGGTGGTTGCTCACACCTGTGGAATGCATTATTTAGAACCTGATCACTATTCATTCTGAAATGATAGCATAAAGTGAAGATAAATTCCCATCTCTGGAAATTCTCCTATCCTTGACCTTCACAATGAGAATCAAAACAAAGGCAGCTTTCAAAATGATAAAAAATGTTTTCCAGATTTACTTTCTTTCTTAAAGCATTATAGAGAAATATTTTAGGGTTAGAATTTGCACAGGAATAGAACAATCAGCTTGGTTTTCCGTATGGCTGACTCTCTTTACCATGTGATAGAGGGTTGTGCTTTGATTTCTAAAAGTGAAGGTGAAAACTGTTATGTACAATGATTTTTTAAAAAACAAGAAACATTTTCACTTCAGTTCAATTTGTTTTTCTTTTTCCTCTATTTTTAATTTTAAGCTTAAATTTAATATTTTATCACCTTAAATACTAAAACCAGATACATCAAAATATTATTCAATTATGTTGCTATATTAAAAATCTAGGATACCGTGACTACTTAAATATGACTTCCCTTTTCTATCAATTGAGAAAAGAAATCCCTTTATATTCTGCATATAACACTGAACATAGATTCTGATTTGAACATGTGCTACAATTTTCATTAATGTCACCTGAATTTCCATTATTATTAAGGAAGCTATTTAAAAAAATGTGGTTTGTTATTTTTGTCATTGCAAAAAATAACTCAGGCTTTAAAAGGTTTGTGTGAAAGTGGGTTCATCATCAGCAGAGTTTCTATTGATGACATCATGTGTGTGCAGAGGGAACGTCTGGTCTCTGTTGCTGCCTCCCCCAACAGCCTTGGTTTCTGGTGTGCCTTGTCCTGTAAAGAGGTGAGGGACTGAGCTGGGAAGTCCAGCCAGCCAACAGCAAGAGAGCTGGCCTGTGGAAGGCTTCCATGAGCTGTGTGGCAGCCATCAGCATGATTGGCTATTTTGATGCCACCAGTGTTTGCTGAGAGCAATTCTGTTCCTTTACCCGCCTCCCCAACATGGGGTGTGTGTGTGTGTGTGTGTGAGTGTGAGTGTGTGTGTATTCATTTACATTATCATTTTGCTTCTTGGACACAGGGAAAAAGGAATGAAAAAAACCAAGTAAGTTGGTGTTTATTGGTCATACTCTAGTTGAGGGCTGCCTCAAATCTCTCTGCTATTTCACCCTGGGAGGACAAATCTGTTCCGAAAACTCCCATCAAGACAGTATCTGTGTACCATCCGAGTGACATGTAGTCTTGCCATTCAGGTCATCTCTTAAGCAGAGAGCACACTCTTCCTGCTCCTGAAAACACAATTCAGGTCAGCATCCACCTCTCTTCTCCCCACTCTTCAGTTTCCTCCACCTGCTTTTCACAGAAAAGATTCACCTTCTCCTTTCCAAATCCTCCCACTATGGCCCGTTAAGCACAACCCTGGAGCTATTGTGACTTTCTAGGGGCTGGGAGACAACTGAAATTTCTGAGAGCGCTGAGCTGATAGGGTCCTATTAGAGTGCCTGGTGCACAAAACCTGCACCTTTGGAATATTGGGGTAATCAAAGGGAGACAGGCCTGCTAGGTAGGAATCCCACCACCCTGAGTTGCACTTCTCTTGTGTATTCAAAAATTCAATATACAAAGTGGGTTTTTCTCTCTTTTTTTTTTTTTTTTTTTTTTTTTGCTGAATAAGATATTTTAATCTGTTGTAATTAAAAAGTCAAAGTAGAATGAACAGGAGGTTTAAAAACAGGTCCCCATGCCAACCTCAAGCATGTAGTTGTTGTCCAAGAAATATTTGCTAAATTTAATTGAATTGTGGCTTATGAGTCACTTCTCTGTACCATAAAAGTCTTGGTGGAAAGGTTTTGCAGATACCTTAAATTAACTGGCTATGTTTGACTCTTTTGAAAAGGAAGCAGGGGGAATGATTGGAACAATTTTCAAAAAATAGGTAAAAATTATTAGGTAATATATAATCTGAATAGACCCACAAATTATTAGTGTGATTTCTACTCTATTATTTAATTTAATAGTTTTACATTATCTTAAAGAAGATGCTATGGTTTGAATGTGTCCCCCAAATTTCATGTGTTGGACACTTAATCTCTAAATTCATATGTTGATGGTATTTGGAGGTGGGGCCTTTGGGAGGTAATTAGAATTAGATAAGGTCATCGCGGTGGGTCCCTATGATGGGGCTGGTGGCTTTAAAGAAAGAGGAAGAGAGGCGGGGCGCGGTGGCTCATGCCTTTAATCCCAGCACTTTGGGAGGATGAGGCGGGCAGATCACGAAGTCAGGAGTTTGAGACCAGCTTGGCCAACATAGTGAAACCCCGCCTCTACTAAAAATACAAAAAAGTAGCTGGGCATGGTGGTGGGCGCCTGTAATCCCAGCTACTTGGGAGGCTGAGGCAGGAGAATCACTTGAAGCTGGGAGGCGGAGCTTGCAGTGAGCCAAGATTGTGCCATTGCACTCCAGCCCGGGCGACAGTGTGAGACTGTCTTTAAAAAAAAAAAAGAAAAGAAAAAAAAAAAGGTTGGGCGCGGTGGCTCACGCCTGTAATCCCCGCACTTTGGGGGGCCAAGGCGGGCCGATCACGAAGTCAAGAGATTGAGACCATCCTGGCCAACATGGTGAAACCCCATCTCTAGTAAAAATACAAAAATTAGCTGGGCGTGGTGGCACGTGCCTGTAATCCCAGCTACTCCGGAGGCTGAAGTAGGAGAATCAATTGAACCCGGGAGGTGGAGGTTGCAGTGAGCCAACATCATGCCATTGCACTCCAGCCTGGGCAACAAGAGTGAAACTCCAATTCAAAAAAAAAAAAAGAAAAAAAGAAAGAAAGAAAGAGGAAGAGAGACCTGAGTTGACCTGGTCTTGCCTTCTCACCATGTGATGCCCTCCACCATGCCATGACACAGCAAGAAAGTCCTCACCAGAAGTGGCCCCTGGACCTTGGACTTCCCAGCCTCCAGAAGCATGAATGAAATAAAGTCATTTTCTTTATAAATTACCCACTCTTGGGTATTCTGTTATAGCAACAGAAAATCAGAGGATATATGCATATTTGTTAAAAACAGTTGCTTTGGGATTAAGATGATTATAAATGTGTCAGGAAAAGGAGGGCCAATGGGTCACATGGCATGAAATAAAAACAATCACTCAATCGGTGGCATCTTGCTGGCCACTGATGTTACCTAGTCCAAGAGCTGGGAGGTGTATACAATTATGAGCGAAGCTGAACAATTGTTTTTGTTTATTGACTTTTGCCTTTTTTTCTATAGTGGCTGTTCAAACTTTAGTTTCTTGATTTGATTTTTTCCTTACAAAAATAAGGCTGAAATATTATTTATCAATCAAAAGAAATGATCTATCAAGCCATGACCTGAAGGAAACTTAGATGTATTTTACAAAGTGAAAGAAGCTAATCTGAAAAGGGTACATATTGTATGATTCCAATTATATGACATTCTGGAAAAGGCAAAGCTATAGAGGCAGGAAAAAGATCAGTAGTTGCCTGGGGACCGGGCAAGGAGCAGAGGGGAGGGAGGGATGAACAGGTGGAGACAGAGGACTTTTAGGGCAGGGGAACCACTCTCTATGATACTGTAATGGTGGATCTGTGTCATTACACATTTGTCCAAACCCAGAGAATGTACGGCCCAAGAGATTATTAGGGTACTATGTGTGGCAAGTATGTAACACCAAAAACATGACGTAGAAAGATGTTAATAAGAAGAGAAACTATGTATAACGTGGGGAGGGGTGAGGGAGTATATGGAAACTCTCTGTACTTTTTGCTCCATTTTTCTGTGAACCTAAAAATGCTCTAAATTACAGTCAATTGAAAAGGCTGTAAAGTTAAACCTTCAAACTATTAATCCACACGATAGTGTTTTATTTGCAAGGCTAAGTCACTTTGTTTAATTAATAATGTGACTTCCTTTGTATTATCATTAATTTGATATTAATTAATTTTGATAAAATAACCGTAATAGTTAAGAAATAACAAAAAGATTTTTTTTAACGTGTTTTAGGGTTTGACTTCTATAACTTAGAGTAAGAAAATCTACTAAAACTTACAGTGTTTTAAAAAATAGTAATTAGGCCCACAAAATTAATTTATGATTTATATTAATCCTTTCCTTATTGTTTGACTTTTCTTTCCTTTCTACTTCCTAATGCACTTCCCATATTAACCAGAATTTTGAAGCCAGGTCTTTCTGTGTATAGGGAGCCCAGGCTGCCACAAGACAGTTTGGAGACCTCTACTGGTTAAAAGCCGATGAGAGCACTAGGATCGACACAGAGAGATGGAGGAAAAGGAAAGAGGAGAGAACCTTATCAGGAATTGACATGGTCCCCTTTCTGAAGCATCAAATAAATACACAGTTGACCCTTGAACAATATGGTTTTAAACTGCATGAGTCTACTTATATGTAGATTTTCTCCTGCCTCTGCCAACCCTGAGACAGTAAGACTAACCCCTCTTCCTCCTCCTCAGCCTACTCAATGTGAAGAAGATGAGGATGAAGACCTTTATGATGTTCCACTTCCATTTAAGGAATAATAAATGTATTTTATCTTTCCTATGATTTTCCTAATAATGTTTTCTTTTCTCTAGCTTAATTTATTATAAGAATACAGTATATAATACATATACAAAATATGTCTTTATCAACTGTTCATGTTATCAGTAAGGCTTCTGGTCAACAGTAAGCTATTGGCAGTAAGTTTCTGAAAAGCCAAAAGTTGTATGCAAAATTTTGACTGCATAGGGGGTCAGCACCCCTAATTCTCCTGTTGTTCAAGGGTCACCTGTACTATGCCTATCTCTCAGGGTCTTTTCTCTTTCATAAAACAAACACAGACAGTAAATAAACCAACAAGCACAGAAAGACCCACCCTGGAATCATGGTTCTACCACTTACTAGCTATATGACTTGGCACATGTCACTTTAAAACTTCAGAGCCTCTTTCCTCACATGTCAAGTGCAGATTTAAGTAGGCACTTACTTGCAAGGTTAGAATTAGTGATAATGTAGTGCCAGGCAGGTGTTTCACACTTGGAAGGCATTCAACATACACTGTCCTCCATAGTACCTGTCTAGTTACTGTAAGTGAGACTGAAAGACAGTCTGTTAAATAAATCTGGCACCCGTGATAAAAGACAATGGAATAAGGCTCACTTCTGTGTATGGCTTTGCTTTAACCTCTGAGTTTGTATTTTGAATGCTAATTCCTCCCAGTCAATAAAGATGGAGTAACAGTTGGAAAATGAATTTACCTTGGAGAAGTAGTATAAATTGTGAATTAAAAATTATTAAACACTTCTTTTAGAAGATTATCTTCCTTAGATAAATACACTTTATTGTTTTTTAACAGCTACATTTAAAAGCAGGAAAATAATTCTTACTTAGACCACAGAGTCTGTCTTATCACCAGAGCACAGAGCTGTGACATTCAAAATCTAGCCATGCTTGCTGCCAAAAAACATAACAGTCCCATTAAATATCTGTTATAAACATTTAATGCTTTTTATAGCAGGATTATTCACACCCTATAGATTTTTAAGAGGTGAATAATTCTTTCATGCAAACATTTGTTTTTCTACAACTGCTCTATTCTTCCTTCAAAGTGCTACAGAAAAGTCTGTGGGGATGCCAGTCTTCCCAAATGTGGCCATGTTAGTGCCGGAGGAACATTCAAAGCATAGACTTATTGGGCCAAATCTGCTTCTTCTGTTACCATTTCATTGTGTTTTTCTGTTTTGTTCTTCAGAGCATTCAAACAAGGAGTGACTTGATTTCTTTTTATTCCAATTTGTTAACCTTCAAGCTCTCCAAAGTTTAAATTCCAGGTCGTTAGCAAGATTACATAAAGGGTCTTTGTAGCCCAGACCTTTTTCTTCGAAACATGTTATGTTCCCCTTCCACGGACCTTAAGATGCAGTGGTGTTGAGTGACAGCCAGTCTTTATGCTATAGGAAGCACCATGAGATTTCACAAACCAGAAGGAGAAGACCAGGCTCTACCTGGGTAGCCTTAGTTGGACTTGTTAATCTAGTGTGCTGAGCAGTAACCACTCTCCTCTTACCTCCATGTATTAGTCTGTTTTCACTTTGCTGATAAAGACGTACCTGAGACTGGGTAATTTACAGAGAAAAAGAGGTTTAATGGACTCACAGTTCCACATGGCTGGGGAGGCCTCATAATCATGGCAGAAGGTGAAAGGCACATCTTACATGGCAGCAGGCAAGAGAGAATGAGAGCCAACTGAAAGGGAAACCCCTTATAAAACCATCAGATCTCATGAGACTTCTTCACTACCATGAGAACAGTATGGGGGAAACCCCCCCATGATTCAATTATCTCCCATCGGGTCCCTCCCACAACAAGTGGGAATTATGGGAGCTACAATTCAAGATGAGATTTGGGTGGGGACACAGCCAAACTGTAACGCTCCATGAACATCATGTGTGATAATAGCTGTGGAAGAGCTGTTTAAACTGCAAAATAATATAAAAACATAATGTATCATCATATTCATGTGATGCAGGTTAAAAATAATTCAGTCAATTGTCACTATTTGCAGTAGCTATGTTTCATACAGTTGCTGCTAACACTCAATTAGTGAATACTAAAACATTGTTCCTAAAGTAAATACAGGGTTAGGTTCCTGCAAGCATCTGGTCATAACATTTTATCAACCAACCAATACATTACCTTGCTTTATGTGTGTATCTTATTTAATATTCAGTTTTGAAATAAATGTTGTTGATTTATTAACATTGAGCTCATGGCTGCCAGCACAATCAGTCATGCCTAAAGACAGCTCATCTAACAGATGTATTTTCTCCACAGGACAGATCGCAGCGTCTTGTGCTTAGGAGCAATAGATAGCATTTCAGCACTCCACTTAGGGGCCATTTTATACAGTAAAATCACCAATAAAAACACAAGAATGCAAAAAAAATGGCACTGAATAGACTACAAAAATGATACTTGTTTATGGTATAAGAGCTGAAACTAGAAGGCAAGGGCATCACCTTGTTTGACTTCAAATGAGAATGTACACATTGATGACAAATTGTTTGCTGCACAGCACATGTCTGCAAATAACCACAAAAGCACCAAGAATACTACTTTTGAGGTTCTAAATAAATTTTAGAGAGTAGGTGAATTTGTAAATATGAAATGTATAATAATAATGATCAACTGTATATAAATAAGAAATTCAAAAATTTTCCATGCCTTCTGGAATACTTTGGAATGTTATAATAATAAGAATTCTTTCTTTCTTTCCTTCCTTCCTTCCTTTCTTTCTTTCTTTCTTTCTTTCTTTCTTTCTTTCTTTCTTTCTTTCTTTTTTTTTTTTTTTTTTTGAGACAGAGTTGCTTTTGTTGCCCAGGCTGGAGTGCAATGGCATGATCTTGGTGGCTCACTGCAACTCCACCTCCTGGGTTTAAGCAATTCTCCTGCCTCAGCCTCCCAAGTAGCTGAGCTTACAGGTGCCTGCCACCATACCTGGCTAATTTTTGTAGTTTTTTAAAGTAGAGATGGGATTTCACCATGTTGGCCAGGCTGGTCTCGAACTCCTGACCTCAGGTGATCCACCTGCCTTGGCCTCCCAAAGTGCTGGGATTACAGGTGTGAGCTACCGAGCCCAGCCTAGAATTTTGGCTTTCAAATGTTTGTTTATTTCAAAACAATTGGGTATGCAAAAGTATGTTGTGTGTCAAAGACAGGTGAGTTGAAGATTTGGGACAGAAATAAGTGTTTTGACAATCTTCTTTAACCAAATACTAAAAATGTGATTAAAACAGAACTTCTGATCTCTCATCACATTTTAACAATAAATGATTTTTTTTGGTGGGGGTTGCTTTTGTTAATTAAAAATAATTTAATTTTGGAAACCATGGAAAGATGATGATACCAATTGGTTTTCAATCAAAAGTTTTTTTCAGTTTTTCATTGTTTGAGTGTTCTTTTTATGAGTGACCCAGGATTGGAGTCAGCCATTCTTTATTTGTATTAGCTAAAAGTCAAAGATTAGATGTAATGATACTGCCTAAGACGTACTGGACACTCACTGTGTGCCAGGCTGTGTGATAAGCCCTTTACATTCATGATAGCATCTTTCATCTTCCTAACAAAGCTTATGATATTGGCACTACTATCATTCTCATTTCACGGTTAAGAAAACTGAAGCTGAGATTTGTAAGAAACCTGTTAAAGCTCCTCGAGCAGGTGAGGCAACTGGAATTGCAGGTGTTCTGACACAGAGCCTGTATTGAGCCTGACCCTCAATGTTCAAAATATCCTCTTCCAGCCTACACTTATGACAAGATTTGCCTTTGCAGCTGTTTTATCTAGATATTGAGAGTATGTTTGCAGGTTATGATGTATTAATTATTTATTGTCCTTGTTAAAGACACATTTGGGTGATAAGCAAAGATTATTCTGATATTGACAGTATATTATATTGAAAATATCGTTGAAGGCTGGGTGTGGTGGCTTATGACTGTAATCCCAGAACTTTAGGAGGCCGAGGTGGGTGGATCATGAGGTCAGGAGATCGAGACCATCCTGGCTCATGTGGTAAAACCCTGTCTCTACTAAAAATACAAAAATTAGCCGGGTGTGGTGGTGTGAGCCTGTAGTCTCAGCTACTCACAGGAGAATTGCTTGAACCCGGGAGGTGGAGGTTGCAGTGAGCTGAGATCACGCCATTGCACTCCAACCTGGTGACAGAGTGAGACTCCGTCTCAAAAAAAAAAAAAAAAAAAGGAAACGTTGTGAAGTACCAGCTATGTGACCTTGGCTTCATTTAACCTTTCTGGGCCTCATTTTCCTCAGCTGTAATGTGACAAAGTTTCAACAAATTATTTCTTAGGGCCTCCTATGATTCTATAAGGCAATAATAATAATAAAGCCCAATAAATGTCTAAGAATGAAAGTCAATGCAATTAAAAAAGAATGAGAAGCCAGCCTTGAACTAGAACTCCCTGAGTGAATTCTTTTAAAATAGATTTCCTTCAGCCTTGAGAAGATTCTGGACATTAAGACTACGCTATATGTTCTTTAGGATATGAAAAACAGGACATAATTTCTTCTCTTCAGTTTAAATATTATTTCTCACCTATCACTTCAATGAGCTTTCTCATCAGTGCTTTCCTGCTGCTTCTGTCCTTATAGTAAAACGCAAAGGCAACTGACCAGAAATTTCAATTAACTATTTGCCATTTGTTCATTTATCAATTTTGCTGCATTCTACTCTTAGGAGGTAGAGATAAATCACAAGGCGATAAGCTGCCATCGGGGACTTTCCTTGAGAGAAGTTGCAGGCAGTTTAATCTACCCCATTTTCTCTAGCTCCTTTTTAAAGAAATGTATTATATTAATCATTCTCTTCAATAATGACTCTAAAAGAACTACAAAATTCTAAGCTGTAAATAAATAATAATTCCCACATATTTCCTAATCTCTACTGGCTAGCGCAGGAAAGTAAAGAGGGAATGGGTAGAACCGGTGGCTTAATCGCTGCAGGTCCCTCTCCTGTCCCTCACGCTCCCCCAGGGTGGATGGCACTAGCCCCTAGGAGACACTGACTAAATATCCCATGAATAAATGGCTCCACAGAAGAAGGTGGACTTGGTCTTCTTTTACTTTTATTGCTTTTCCTTTTCTTTTTTCTTTTTTTTTTGAGATGGAGTCTCCCTCTGTTGCCCAGGCTGGAGTCCAGTGGTGTGATCTCTGCTCACTGCAACTTCCGTCTCCTAGGTTCAAGCGATTCTCCTGCCTCAGCCTCCCAAGTAGCTGAGATTACAGGCTCCCGCCATCTTGCCTGGCTAATTTTTGTATTTTTAGTAGAGACGGGGTTTTGCCGTGTTGACTAGGCTGGTCTGAAACTCCTGACCTGAGGCGATCCACCTGCCTCAGCCTTCCAAAGTGCTGGGATTACAAGCATGAGCCACCGTGCCCGGCTTTTTATTGCTTTTTCTAATTGAAACTTTAATTGAGTCCATTGTAGAATCACATGTAGTTGTAAGAAATTGTACAGAGAGATCCCCTGTGTATTTTGCCCAGTTTCCCCATTGGAGACATTTTGCAAATCAGGAGTACAGTGTCACCATCAGGATATTAACATTGATATGATCCAATGATCTTATTTCAGATTTTGTACTCTTGTATGTGTGCAAATGTGATTCTGCACAATTTTATCATCTGTGTAGGTCTGTGCATCCACCACCATAGTCAGGATAATGAATAATTCCCACTGCAGAAGAATCTCTCTTTTTTATTTTTAAATTTTTGAGATGGAGTCTAGCTCTGTCACCTAGATGCAGTACAGTAGCATGATCTTGGCTCACTGCAACTTCTCTGTCTCCCGGGCTCAAGCAATTCTCCTGCCTCAGCCTCCCGAGTAGCTGGGACTACAGGCATGGGCCACCATGCCTGGCTAATTTTTATATTTTTAGTAGAGACAGATTTCACCATGTTGGCCAGGCTGGTCTCGAACTCCTGACCTCAAGTGATCTTCCTGCCTCAGCCTCCCAAAGTGCTGAGATTGCAGGAGTCAGCCACCATGCCCGGCCTCCTTGTTTTCCTTTTCTAACCACACCTCTCTTCCTTCCCCTTCCCTCCTGTCCTAGTCACTAACCCTTGGCACTCACTAATCTGTCCTCAATTGTAAAATTTTGTCATTTCAAAAATGTTGCATAAATGGGATCATTGGGTATGTAACCTTTTGGGACTGGCTTTTTTTCCATTGGCACGATTCTCTAGAGATTCATCCAAGCTGTTTTGTGTATCAGTAATTTGTTCTTCTTCATCATTGCGTTCATATGCAACACCTGAATGACTTTATAATGGAGATATATTCTGACATTTATCAATAGGCTTTTTTCTTTTTTGCCTTTCCCAGTAACGATCAATGTCCTAGTCAAGCCAAGACATCTATCTGCCTGAGGAGGAGATGGGAGATAAAGACAGGAAAAGGCCGTGTTACAGGTGGTGTTCGGTTTCTGATATGCACCTCAGTGCTATGCATCCATGGAATAGCCTTGAATGTGGCTAGAATGGAAGTCTTAATTTTTATTCCACAGTTCCTAAACTACTTCTCTCCCAGGGTACCTCATTGTAGTAGGCAGCCCCACCACTGGGCCAGCTATTCAGGCCAATACCTTGGGAAACGCTCTTTGACTTCTCTTTCTCTCACCCACCACATCCGGTTGATCACCAAATACTATGGGCTCTGACTTCAGTGTGTTCCTAGTCCAAAGATTTCTCCATCACCATCACTGCTGTTGCGTTGGTGCACGTGCCTCTAACTCTCACATGGACTCCACAACTGTATTTGAAATGGTCTCTTAGTGTCCATCCTGCCCCTATATCAGCCCACCCCTTCTGCAGTTAATACAGCATCCCACAGCTGGAATGACCTTTCTAATATGTAAATTGGATTGTGTTACTTATGTGCTCAAAACCTTCTACTGTTTCTCATCTCATTTAGAATAAAATGCAGACTCTCCATGATGGTCTCCATCTGTGCAATTGGCTGCTGGCTAACCCTCTGACTTCATCTGTCTCCTGCCACTCTGTCCCTTGATGGCTGTATTCCAGCCATGTTGGTTTTCTTCCTGTCCTTGAACAAGCCAGGCGTGTCCCTACCTCACAGCCTTTGGACTGCCATTCTCTCTTCCTGGAAGGCTTTTCCAGCAGATGTCCACACAGCCAGCTTTCTCACTTTGTTAAGGCCACTGCTTAAATATTGCCTTCTCAAAGACGACTTTCCTGGCCATTGTAACATGCTTTCCTGCTAAGCCTCTTTTACTTTTCTTCATAGCACTTATTGCTAACATTTATATTACACAACTCTTTTCTCATTCTGTCTATGCTCATGAGAGTACATGGTTCATAAAGATAAGAGATTTCTGTTTTATCCATTGTTCTGTGCCTAGCACCTGGTACATGTGAGCACTGAACATACTTTTGAGTGAATAAAATGATTTCCCCAAGTTCCTTTGCTCAGGCTTTTTTTTTTTTTTTTTTTGAGATGTAGTCTCACTCTGTTGCCCAGGCTGGAGTGCAGTGGCGCGATCTCGGCTTACTGCAAGCTCCACCTCCTGGGTTCACGCCATTCTCCTGCCTCAGCCTCCCGAGTAGCTGGGACTACAGGTGACCACCACCACGCCCGGCTAATTTTTTTTTGTATTTTTTAGTAGCGACAGGGTTTCGCCATGTTAGCCAGGATGGTCACAATCTCCTGACCTCGTGATCTGCCTGCCTCGGCTTTCCAAAGTGCTGGGATTACAGGCGTGAGCCACCGAGCCGGGCCTACTCAGGCTTTTTAGTACATCGAGGAGGTCACAGAGTTCTCCTGCATCCACCTCCTAAGTATGGAAGATGGCATTGGCGGCCCCTAATTCTTTACCCTTCCCTGTATCCGTGGCCTTTGCCATGTGACTTTGCTGTTTTCTTCACTGAAGGGAAAGCAAGTTTCTCTTCTCCTCGACTATGGATTTGGCCACATGACTTAGTTTAGATAATCAGATGTTAGTGGATGTGACAAGACCAAAGGCCTGGAAAGTGCTTGTGTGAGTGGCTTGTTCTCTCGTGTCTCTGCCAGAGAAAAACATGCCCATGCTAACTCCCTGGTCCCAGGAGGAAGACGAGAGGTGTACAAGAGAAACTTCGGCCCTTAGCTGACCCGCAGATTAGTGATAAAAATAGAATTGTTGTTTTAAGCAATTGAGTTTTGGAGCTATTTGTTAGATGGTGCTTTTTTTTTTTGTAGGAAGTAAAAGCAAAGCTTTTTTTCTTTTTTTCTTTTTTCTTTCTTAATGCCCTAGAAGACTATGAGAAAAGGAGGAGATACAGCAGGAGAGACGAGAGCTAAGCTTTGGCCCAGAGAGCAGAAGTGGGTTTCTAAAGGATGACGGATGGGACCAAGGGTTTAGGGCTCTTGCCTTGCTTCCCAGTCTGGGGCTCTGGGGAGAGGTTGCTGTGTAGGGGGTCGGTGGTGGTGGGGGGCGGTCCTGTACTAACATGGGGCAGCCAAGCCTCATGTAGAGAGGGAAGAAGAGTAAGCCGACAGGGTCTCTGGTCCTCACGTGCATCATCTCATTCTCGTGCAGCATGAAGCCTTAGATGAAAGCCCTCACTGCTTGATAGCTGACGACAACCTGCCATGGGGAGACGGAGGATGCGAAAGAGACTTAGGGCTTAGGGGTCTCTCAAGTGGGAGATTGAGGGCACAGCAAGTAAGCAAAGGGCAGGATGGCAGGTGCTCCCTGGGAACACTGCCTGAGTCAAAGAAAGGGACTCTAAGTTCATCAACCACAGATTTAAGCTCCAAGGCCAGAAGAGCACTCAGGGACACAGGACACTGGGCTGGAGGCCAGCAGATGCCTGGCCATGCAAACTCAAGGACCAGCATGCATCCAGGTCTCTCCCTGCCCACGGTATCATTAGAATGCTAAAGCTAGACATGTTGCTGCCTGTCTCCTTTTATATTCTGTACACCTGGTCCCCACCTTATAGAAAGAAGCAGAGGACGGGAAAGGCTCTTCGAGAAACTGAACATTTTTATTCATGAGGGACAGAGCACAACCAGGAAGGAATTTTGAAATGATTAAGTCAGAATCAGCTTTAAACCAGCCTGGATGTTTAGCTTATTTGCCTTTGCTACCCAGAAGGAATACGACATCATCAGACACAGATAAAGACATTGCATTTTCTCCACATATGTGAGCTGCTTTGTGCATTACAATGTGCAATTCTGTGATAACCATGGCAACCTCCAATTTGGTCTCCCTGCAGCTTCTCACTTCCTGTTATGCATTTTGCACTCTGCAGATGGTATTATCTGGCTAAAGTGTCAATCTGATCACGTTATTCTATGGATTAAAAAACATCCTTCCTTGACTTCCTTTAACCCCTAAGATAACATTAAAACCTTAACATGGCTTATAAATAGATCCGTAATATGGCAGATGCTGTCAGTGCCCGGCATTCACCTCAGTCCTGCTCCAGGAACCACTGACTGCGATTCGCTGTCATCTGCACTTTCCTCTGGCCTCAGCAGTGTGTTGGGTGTAAACACGGGACAAGCTGGAAGTGCTGGGGAGTTAGTACCGCAGGAAGCAGCCCTCATCACTGCAGGATGGGAGGAGGTGGCGAGATGCCCTGGCTTCCTCCTGCCTTGGTTGGGACACTCGGAGGCATGTCTCGCACTGTCTTCCAGAGTGTCCTGGTGGGATTATGTTCCAGGTGCCCACAGTGGTGAGTGGCTTGATAATGCTCCATCCCTTTCCCTGTTTCATGTCTCTACTTTCCTGCTTGTTTTATGGGATTGTCTCCCAGGTAAACTTCTTATATTCAAATCGAATTCTGCAGGGTTTCTCCTGGGAACACCCAAATAAGATAGGTGATCATACAACTGCGTAGTCCTATTTTTAGAGTAAAAGTGGGCACTGCTAATAATGTACTCTTGTCCTGGCAGGAGTAGCTTGGGTCTGTCCCAGGCAAAGCAGGACATGTGGCCCTGCTGGTAAAGCCGCCTTTGATCTGAACCCTGCTTATGCTGCAGCATTTTTATCACTTGCATCTTCACATCCGACTTTCCACCATTCTGAATGCAACTTGTGGTTCCTCAAATTTCTCTCATAGCACACTGTGTTTCCAAAGATGTCACAACCGTAACTCCCATGGCATGTTTCTTTGCAATGTGACCTGGCTACGATGCCACCAAGAGGTAGGGTCTGCTTCCTCTCTCTTGGAACATGGGCTGGAACCCAGATTTTGGTCAATAGCATATGGCAAGAATGGTGGCTCTTAGAGACCTTCAGCTTCTACATTTGCTGTTTGGAAAGCTCCTTCTTGGAGCCCAGCCACCATGCCATGAGGTAGCCCAAGCAGCCATGATTTGGAACCCTTGGGGGAGAACTCAGCCCCTGGCTCGTGGCCCCAAAGAGCTCCTGGGCAGCCAGCACTTGCTGCCAGCCACATGAATGAGGCTATTTCGGGCTATCCAGTCATTCTTACACCCTGCCTGGAGTCATGAAGCAGAACAACCACCCTGCCAATCCACAGAATTGCCAGAAATAATAAACTACTGTTTTGAGCCACACAGTTTTGGGTGGACTGCTGTGCAGAATGGAGAACTGACCTCCCCCGCCCTTATGGCCTCTACTTCAGCCCATTGCTTTACCCAGATCATTCTAACTCTTCATTAGGGTCCCAGCTTCTGTGTTACTTCCTCTAGTATGCCTTCCCTCACTCCTGGACTGGCTCAAGTGCCCTCCCTACTTGCTCCCAAAGAATTCTATACTTCTTTTCATTTATCCCACCCTCTTGTCTTTTTACTTCTAATTGACTTTCCATTACCTTCTTTTCCAGAAACTGAAGCTCTAAAGATGTGACCCAGTGCATATTGATACATTGTATGATCCCCTATCTTGCTTTGGGTTCTCCCAAGAGAAACCTCTGAGAACTGGATTTGAATATATAAAGTTTCCAAAGGCAGAAACTGTGCCTGTCTTGGACCCTAATGATGTTCCAGGGACTTATACAATGCCTGGCATCTGACATATGATGAGTATACATTTGCTGATTATGCAAAGTAAAAAACTAATATGTATTACACACATACTATGCAGCAGAGACTGTGCTAACCGCTAAACATGTATTATTTTGCTGAATCCCGTGACACAGAGACCATTACTATTCCTATTTTACACATGACAAAACAGATACACACAATGTTAAGTAACCCGACAAAGTCATACAATCGGCAAATGGTAGAGTAAGAGATTGTATTAGGCTGTTCTTGCACTGCTATAAAGAAACATCTGAGACTGGGTAATTTATAAGGAAAGAGGTTTAATTGGCTCACAGTTCTGCAGGCTTTATAGGAGGCACAGCACTGGCATCTGCTTCTGGGGAGGCCTCAGGAAGCTTATGATTATGGCAGAAGGTGAAGGTGGAGCAGGCAGGGTACATGGCAAAAGCAGGATCCAGAGGAAGAGTGTTGGGGGGAGGTGCT
Organism: Homo sapiens; assembly: GCF_000001405.40. NCBI lineage: Eukaryota > Metazoa > Chordata > Mammalia > Primates > Hominidae > Homo > Homo sapiens. The sequence continues at coordinate 59,703 of NT_187564.1, read as the reverse complement.
ACATACTTAAACATCCAGGTTTTGTGTGAACTCAGAGTGAGAGCTCACTTATCACCAAGGAGATGGCCCAAGCCATTCATGAGGCTTCCACCACCATGATCCAAACACCTCCCACCAGGCCCCACCTCCAACACTGGGGATTACATTTCAACATGAGATTTTGGTGGGGACAAATATCCAAACTATATCAGAGATCAAACCCAAGGGTGCGAGAGCAAAGTCTGCCCTTAAGTCAGTCCTTATGCCTCAGTCAGGACAGGCCAAGGCTCTGCCACAGTAACAAACAGCCCTATAGTCTCGGTGGCTTAACAAAGCAAGGAGTTTTTTTTATCTCATGCTATATGTTCATCACAAGTCAAGAGTTTTCTGTTCACTGTAGTCACAGAGGGACCCAGGCTTACGGAAAAAATCACTGTCTTAGGCTTGTCAGTCACCATGCCAAAGGGATAAAAGGACTCTAGAGGGTCTTGCATGAGCACTTAAATGTTCTAGCCTGGAAATCACACAAATCTTTTCCATTCATAACTCTGGCCAGAAATATTCTGTGAGCAGCATGGTTATCACAGTATATGATTTCACCAACAAATGAAGATCTAAGTATGTCAGTTCCTTCTGTGTGAAGAGGCTTTGCCAAAGCTCCAGAAAGTTTTAGAAAGCCTTAGAATAAGACTTTTTAATCAATAAAAAGTCGTGTAGGATCATGATATTCACAATTTAGATTATAATAGAAATAATATAGGGGCTACTAGCCACTTCTATTGGAATTGCTTTGGATAATGGTAGTTTGGGAAATATGAGGATCTGAGACCAATATGACTTACAAACTCTAGTTAGTTCAAATGGATAGAAGTTCGCTTTATTTTTACCACCCCAGACATCGCCACTGACAACAGCAATGATCAGCCAAGCAACAACGACACTGCATTAGTATTCAGCTTCTTTCTAAGCACAGCTTCTCAAGTTTACACAGAGAAGCTACCGTCTTTTTATTTCAGAATAGATCTACTTCATTACGGTTTTATATTACTCTGATTTACAGCGATGGCAGAAATAGTTAATTTGAAAAACGATTAATTAAAGAGGGCTCAGAAATAAAATTAAAATGCATATTGCCACCTTGGAAACAGGTCGTGTATGTAATTACACAACTCACAGTGATGTGGTGATCGCTGTACATTGATATTCTTCTAAATTCATATCTATCATCATGCATCATAACAGTGTTTTATATCAAGGAACCCTAAATGTTATCCCCCTAGTTGCCAATGGAACAGGAGACCCTGCTCTACTATAATATTGCATTTTCACCTTTTTAATTAAGAAAATTACTCCCACCACAAATCTTAAAGTTTCAAAGTTTATTTAGGCTATATCTAATCTGGTTTTACTCAATCCAGACAACTCCTTAATATACAGGGCACATTTCCGTTTAGCCTTTGTTGAATATTCTCAATAATAGAGAGTTCATTACCTCAAAGTAGAGACCACTCACTTTTGAAAAGCTCTAATTGTTAGGAAGTTCTTTCTTATATGGAGCTGAGATTTTCCTCTTCATATCTTCTGCTTTTGGTCCATGTCAGTCTTGCTGAGTAAGCCTCAACTAAGTCTAATCCACCCTGCATGTGGCAGTTACCAAAGACTGAAAATTGATTCTCTCGTCTCTCAAATCATATTTTTTTCTGATCAGACATTCCCAGGTCTTCTGACATTTCCTTTACGGGTCTTGTGTTTATCTGGTTTTCTCCTCAGATGACTAATACCCTCGCTCTGGACATGATTCTCATACTAGTGTGGCTCAGAATCACATTCATTTAAGAATCCATCACCATGTAACATTGCTTGTACCAGACTTTCCATCAAACCAATTTCCTAAGTTTTTTCATGATGCTGGGGGTCTCCCATCTTCTATTTAGGTGATTGTATATATTTTTTTTATCTAAGTGCTGCAATTAAGTTTATTTCTATTACATTTCATCTTATTATTTTTATCCCATCTTTCTAGCCTGTCAAGATGGTTTTGAAATGCTTTTTATAATCCATCATATTAAACCATCCCTCTCAGCTTCGTGACATTTGCAAACTTAATAAACATGCTACTTGTGTCTTTCTCCAAGGCATTAATAGAGATGTTGAAAAGGACATGAGCAAACAGAACACCCCACTTTCGGCTTCAAGTTATATTTCTCTTCCTTGAAGATTTCTTGAGAGACCATTAAATTTGTTGCTGAAAGATAAAGTCTATGACATCACTCGGCTGGTAAAAGATGGATGGATATGAGGGATGAAAGATGGACATAACTATGTCTAGTGAGATTTCTCCTTTGTGAACCTTTGCTGATTGCTAGTGATTCTGAATTCCTTCTAGAAGCATTCAGAATTATGTAAGAATCCGTTCTAAAAGTTTGCTGTTGGTTGGCAGTGATCACACTACTATTTCTTGAATATATATCCTCCATCCCCTTTATAAAGATCACACTTGTCCTTGATTAGGTAGCCTTTCTTTCATCCTTTTTCTGTGTCCCTTTTTGAGGAGTGCTCATCAAAGAGCTCAGTGTGAAGTCATTTTAGGTATTTAGAGCCATCTTCTTCTCTTTCTTTTATAGAATCAGTTTCTGAGTAGCAGAAACTGATCCTATAAAAGTAAAGCAACAACTTTGGAGCATGAAACTCCAGGGGGTTTCAAAACCTGGCCGGAGTACATATCAGTTGCAAGTTCAATACTGTATGTCTGTACAGATGGATTTTTACACAACTGGGGAATGCAAATGGGTTGTCTCTCACTGAAGTATATGTTGTTTTCAAAGAGACATTTAAGCATATTCCTGCCCCTGTGAAATGATCAAATATCAAAGGAGTATTGGCTTGAAGGGGTGGCCAGTGATTAGCTTCTCAAGCACTTACATGTCTTCTTGGGGTCTTCACTGAGACTCCTTCAATTTTATTAACAGAATTTTAGCTTCAGAGTAGCAAGAACCTCGTCCTTGCTTCCTCACCATTCTGGAAGGTGCAGGTGTCATCAGGAAGCAAAGCATAGGTCTTAGGTCACAAATCACGCTTTTCAAATCTCAGCGTCACCGCTGACTCGCTGAGTAGCTTGAAGCCTGTGGTTTTCAACTGGGGTGGTAATTTTTCCCTCCTGGGGAACATTTAGCAATGTTAGAAGACATTTTTGGTTGTCACAACTTGGGGTGCTACTTATATCTAGTGGGTAAAGGCCAGGGAGAATGCTAAACATTCTGCAATGAACAAGACAGCCCCATAATAAAGAATTTTCTGATCCAAAATGTCAATAGTTCTGCTGTTGGGAAACCCCACTTTAAGAAGAAAACTTAATAGTTTTGAGCCTTAGCTCCTTATTCTATACAACGAGGGTAACAATGGTCTGTGGTGTTGTGAGAAACGCAGACAGTATTGTACTTACAGCATATAGCATAATAACCGGCATGTAGCTAGCATCAAAAATGGTAATTATTTATGTATTAGGCATTGTGTTGTGTATGTCTTAAGACGTTATTAGCTTAATATTAAAAGAGTAGTTCATTTACTCCACAAGTATTTTTTGAGCCCTTTCTGTATACTAGGCACTGATCAGCCTGCTGTAAATAGATTAGTTTCAAAAAAAGTCTCTGCCTTCTGCCCTCAGGGAGTTAACAACCTGCAAGTAGGCATTTGTGTTCCCCATTTTGCAAAGGAGAGAACCTAGGCTCTGAGAGGTTCAACTAAGAAAGCAACATGGTCAAGATTTCAATGCTAACAGAGGTAGAACTGGATTCCAGTCTAACAAGCTCTGCCTGATTCCGAAGTCCACATTCTTTCTACTTCATGATCGTCAGATGCCTACTTTTAGGCTGTGAGATATGTGAGGATTGCAGCTCTCACCTCTGTGCGAATCTTACTGATTCTGTTAGGATGATCATCCATACCCTTTCACCCTGCAGTATACGTCTACAATGATATCTTTCTGTTTCCTTCCCCTTTTACTCTTTATTAATTCAACAAATATTTATTGAGCACTTGCTCCTTGTTAGTATATGGTGGAACTATGAGATGCTTTCTTGGTCTGCAGGGAGGTCACAGGCTTGTAGGGATGAGAGATAATCTCCACTAGAAGTCAGTGCACCAAGGACCCATTGCTGGAGCCCTAACTACTCTCACCTGCATAACACCATTTCCATCTTGGAATTGTGGACCTCCTTACAGGTATTTATGTGTACTTTCTGTAACTCACTGCCACATGCACAGTTACCTAGTTTGTGTATGCAGCAACATTTTTCTTGGGTGTACAAAAAATACAGGGTGTAACCTTCATGTATCTGAGGCTCATGGTACACTTTTAGCTTTGCACAGATTGATGTCAAGGTACATTCTTAGTTGTAGAAAATGTGGCCTTTATGATGTTATTTGTTCACGACCTTGAAGGTCCATGCCATACAGTATATTGGAATTGTGCTGAAATGTGAACTAGTTACATGACCTGGAAAACAGAGGAACCAGAGAATATTACTCATAGTGACAGAACCTAGAAATCATCCAACATTCCCATCAAAATTTGACTTTGCAGGTTCCACAAAGTAATAAAAAGTCTATTATTTTCGGGTATGTTTATAGTTGATGTTACTTTACGAATATCATAGTGTAGTATCTTTAGGAACATCACCATATCATAGTGTAGCGTTTGTTTTGATGGAATCATATGGTTCTGAAGGAGCACTTAACATTTTAAAGTATTCTCAACTGAACCGTGGGAGTACCTCTGGTAGAAAGCGGGTACTCACCAAAGTCTCAGATCCATGACTCATGAATGCCAAGGCCCTACTCCACTAAACAGCCACTTTTTGTTGCTAACTGATGGCATCGCTCAACTTTCAAATACATCCCTCTTCTGGAGCTTCACCATGAATGACAAGATTGTTTGACCCACTTAAGAGTCTGGACTGTCTTCAGAGAGACCTCGCTTCCAAACTCTGCTTTGCCAGTATTAGTTGAGTAACTTTTGTCAAATTGACCTTCTTCTGCTTCAGTTTTCTCATCTGCAAAATGAGGTTCATAATCAGGGATCTCATTTCATTGGATTGTTGTGACGTTTGTTTCTTATATTTACACGTGTAACATGTGATGTCACAAAGTCTCTTCTTGTTCACAGAACATAAAAGTGGTGATAAGATCTGTAAAAATACATCAACTATAGAAAGTGTTGGAGAAAATTCAGATAAGGACATCAGGGTGAGGTAATCCAAAGCTAGATTTGAGACTGTGCCTGAGTGCTGTTTTCAGGATGCAAAGGATTAAGCAGAAGCTATTTAATTATCTTTCATATCGTACAATATCTAAGGCTCAGTGATCAATACATGTTAGCCCTCTTTTGTTTTCCAGTTCCACCCTTTGATTTATCACTTGCCACTCCCCACTGTCTTGTTCACCAGGTGTGTGGTCTTGGGCTTCATGCACACACCTGCTTTCCCCCTCTCTTCTGGATGCCTCCCTCTCCAGCCGGACTGGTGTGTTCCTGGTTCTAAACCCAGGAATCCTTTTTGTTCTTGACCACTTCCTGGCACAAGATATAGGCTTTATCCCTTACCTGGACAGCCTCAGCATTTATCACCTGCCCAATCTTTCCTCTCTGTCTTTCTCTTTGCATTCTAGATTAACTGCCACAGGGATTACAGCACAGTAAAGAGCTCCCTTGGTGTCTGATTGCCTGAGTTCAAATTTTGGTTCTGCCACTGATTAGCCAGGTGGCCCGGTTATTTAATCTCTTCATGGTTCAGTTTTCTCATCTAAAAAGTGGAGATCATAATCTTAACTACCTCATACAATTGTGACGAAGATTGAATGGGCTAATATCTGTCAAGTGCTTAAACTGGAGCCTGGCCTACAGTAAATCTTACATAAGTGCACATTATTATTATTATTATTATTATTAAGACAGAGTCTCCCTCTGTCGCCCAGGCTGGGGTGCAGTGGCGTGATCTCGGCTCACTGTAAGCTCCGCCTCCCGGGTTCACGCCATTCTCCTGCCTCAGCCTCCCAAGTAGCTGGGACTACAGACGCCCACCACCACGCCCGTCTAATTTTTTTAAATTTTTTTGTAGAGACGGGGTTTCACCGTGTTAGCCAGGATGGTCTTGATCTCCTGACCTCGTGATCTGCCTGCCTCAGCCTCCCAAAGTGCTGGGATTACAGACATGAGCCGCCACGCCCAGTCTATTATTTTTATTATAGGTTCAGTCTCCTACTCACTCCTCATTTTGTGACCCCTGCCGCATGTTTTTAAGTGAGCATTTTTACCATTAATGCTATTCTGATCACTTCTACACACTGGCCGCCGAGTGACCTCCCTCCCACCTGTACATCACCACCATCTTACTGTTTTCATTGCAGTTCACAGTACACAGCCTCATATGAACAAAATTCATTGGCTTCACATTAAATATTTTAAAATACTTCACCAATCATATCGATATTTTAAAAATTTAGGGTGTAATCTTCACATATCTGTGGCTCATGGTACATTTTTTAGCTTTGCACAGTGCTAATCTCCTCTGGTGAAGAGAGGGACAAGGAGACTCTGGAATTCACAGTCGCACATGGGGAAGGGTGTTCTGTCACACTGTCAAATTCCTTATTGGCCTTCTTATCTGCAAATAATATCAAGGTGCTTTCTTACGAGTGAGAGGAAGATAGAATCATGTTGATATGCTTTGACAAAGGAAACGTTAAATTACATATTGCTAGTAGGTAGAGGTCTGTAATAGACCAAATTCTACATAGAGAAGCCTGGAGCAGATTTGCCTTCGCTTGGGTTGTAGTTTATGCCACGCACCAAACAACGTTTGTTCCATTACCATCGCTGACTTAGAAGCCCCCATTACCAATCACAATGTGTTTTTTGTTTGTTTGGTTGTTTTTTTTTTTTTTTTTTGAGACAGAGTCTCGCTCTGCCACCCAGGCTGGAGTGTGGTGGCACGATCTTGGCTCACTGCAACCTCCACCTCCGGGGTTCAAGCAATTCTCCTGCCTCAGCCTCCCGAGTAGCTGGGATTACAGGCACCTGCCACCATGCATGGCTAATTTTTGTATTTTTAGTAGAGACGGGGTTTTGCCATGTTGGCCAGGCTGGTCTCGAACTCCTGACCTCAAGTGATCCACCAGCCTTAGCCTCCCAAAGTGCTGGGATTACAGGCGTGACCCACCATGCCCAGCCTAATCACAATGTATTTCAAAGGCGAATTAGCTTTAGAATGAGTTACATGAGCAATTTCCCCCAAAGATAATTTGTTGACGCTTTGCTTGTGCAACACCGAGAACAACCACGTAACTTTCCTGTACAGAGAAGATATTCGTGACTGGCCCCAGTAAGAGAAATTTACCTGATAGTTTTAAAATCCAAACTCACATTACCCAAATGTATTTGTAGCACGCATTTATACCTAACGAACCACATTCTTACCTATAACTTTTCCCAGAAAGAGCGACTTGGGAGAATTGAAGAGGGTGTCGGATGAACTTGGCAGATGGTAACTCACAGAAGGATAATGATCGAGCTGCAGGAGGAAAACAAGAGACACTTTTAGAAGCACGTCTCTACCCTGTGTGGAACCAAATCTTCCCTGTGGGGATGACATCACTCTTTGAACCCTGGTTTTCTGATATCTTATTTCATCAGCACTGACTCTAAAACACCACCCCGAGAAAATGGAAACCCATGTCTTCCTTTGCTGGGGTTCTTTGAAAAAATCTGAGGATGGTAAGTGAAGATCCTTTATGAACGGCTCTCCAGGTGATGTACATTTTCTGTGGATGATTTACCTACAGGATTAAGATCCATGTTCTTTTTAATGGAGTAACATCTGCTTGATCCAATCTCCAGTGTCAGCCTCTGATAGGGAATATGCCACATCTACAGCAATGAAGTTTTGCGGAAACATTTTATTTTGTGACATGATCACACACACACACATACACACACACACACTCAAATGCTGAGGGTCAAGTGGGGTAAACAGTTGTAGTTTTCTCGGTTATCCCAATGAGAATGATTTCTCCTGCCACAGGCAGGGGTGGTTGGGCGAGTTGGCAGCAGAGGGAGAGAAATGAAGCTGTTGGGAACGGTGCACAGACAGTAACCACGGAAGCGACGCACGTTTCTGATCCTGTTGCCCGTGGACAAAGTGCCAATGGTGGTGTCAGAATCACTGGCCTTGCCCTTTGTGTCCCTGTGTGGCTTTTCCTGCCTTATCTTCTCAGCTGTCTTTTTACCACCTATACAGTCTAGATGTGTTTCTCCAACTGTGAGCTCTTAGAGCTTTCTGGGCCTTTTTTGGGCCCCCCACCCCGGTGGAAAACATTCTTTTGTAAGCATTCATTTTTCTGAAGTGAGTTTAATACGTGCTAAGGTCAGCATGACGAGAGGTGCGGGTTATAAGAAAGCACAGCATTGCTTTCCGACATGGGCATTCCCATGGGGGCCACGTCAATTGTGTAGAGGAAGGAGACAGAACAAGCAGCAACTTGTTGAAGGCAGCAGCACAGACTCAGAAGCAGATACGATCCAGAGTCCTTGCTCAAACTGGGCCTGATTAGGCAAAAAACTGTCCTTCAGATGAGCAAAGATGCTGGAAGCTAGCTGTGCTCTTGGGAGGAAGGAGAGAGTGGCAGTGAAGAAAGAGGGCAGGCAAGTGATCAAATGGCATCACCACATCATACTACGATGAATAGTCATTCATTATTAATGACTGTCTGCAGCAGAATCTTGAAACTGCTTCCTAGAAACTTAGAGATCATTGCACAGTCACGGTTAAGAGTCAAAGGGTCCTCACATCTCAAGAACATTTTAGATTTTTGACCCACAGAACTGGTACAGTAGGTTTTTGTGCATGAGTAGTATTGCCACAAAAATCCAAAAGCACCCCACCCCCAAAAACTATTAAAGTAAACATTTGCATGCTTGGCTATCATTTTGAAAAGTTTTCTATAACGTCAAATGCATCATTAACAAAACAAACCAGGTGTGGTGGCTCATGCCTGTAATCCCAGCATTTTGGGAGGCTGAAGCTTGTGGATCTCTCGAGTCCAGGAGTACAAGACCAGCCTGGGCAATATAGTGAGACCATTATCTCTATAAAAATTTTAAAAAGTAGCTGGGTGTGGTGGTGTGCACCGGTAGTCACAGCTACTCGAGAGGCTGAGGTGGGAGGATAGCTTGAGGCCAGGAGGTCAAGCCTGCAGTGAGCTGTGGTCATGCCACTGTGCTCCAGCCTAGGTGACAGAGTGAGACCCTGTCTGGAAGCAAACAAACAAACAAAAACACTTATTCCGTTCAGATAATCTTAAATATTTAAAATCTCATATATATGTTTCTTTGGAGCAAAAGCTCTTCAGTTTCTGCTCTTAAATATTAGCTAGCTGCTTTGCTGCCATCTAATGACACCCATGGGTAACTGCCACCGCACTTCTGTTTACTTACTCTCTTTTGTTAAATGGTTAAATGCAAAATGCCATTGTTAACCAATAGCCTACCTGGCAATGCCTTAGGAGGTGATAATCTCCACCTCATACTTCTTACAATTTAAAAACTAAATTTGTGATCAGGGCAGTGGCTTACGCCTGTAATCCCAACACTTTGGGAGGCCGAGGTGGGTGGATCATGAGATCAAGAGATCGAGACCATCCTGGCCAACATGATGAAACCCTGTCTCTACTAAAAATACAAAAAGTAGCTGGGTGTGGTGGCACTCCCCTATAGTCCCAGCTACTCAGGAGATTGTAGCATGGGAATGGCTTGAACCTGGGAGGTGGAGGTTCCAGTGAGCCGAGATCGCGCCACTGCACTCCAGCCTGGTGACAGCAAGATTCCATCTCAGAACAAAAAAAACAAAACAAAAAACTAAATTTGTAACAAAGTTCTATTTTCTTAAAGAATTTTAAAAATGGATACAAATAATATATGTTCATTATAGAAAAACACAGATTTGCCGGAAAAAAAGTTGCCTGCTAATAATAAATGTTAATTTCTAATGTATTTTCTTTCAACTTTTTAAATAAAAAAGGGATGGAACCCAAGTAACACATTGTTTTGTATATTTTTTAACTTGATGATATATTATGAATGTCGCTCTGTGTCGATAAAAATACAACAAAATTCTATTTTCTTAGCTTTAAAAATGGATACAAGTAATATACGTTCGTTATAGAAAAAATGATATAGATTTGCAGAAAAAAACTGCCAGCTGATAGTCAATGTTAACTTTTAATGTATATTCTTTCAACTTTTTAAGTAAAAAGGGATGGAACCCAACTAACACATATTATGTTTTGTATATTTTTTAACTTGACGATATATTATGAATGTCTTCTGTCTCAATAAATATACAACAAAAATCATTTGTCATGGATGACTAGTATTTCGTTCTATGGATACATAGTACACAGTTTTAAAGATTAAATTTCCATGTTTAGGTTTTTACATTTCTGTGTCCTCAGGCCCAATACAGCCCAATACAATACATGGTGGGATCTTGATAATTGACATTAACAGTTGTTAATGCAACTTTTAAAGTCGCGAGCACCGAAGGGAAATCCGTCCTCAGGTTTGGCATGACCCACACAGTGGAGGTACCTTCCTTTTCCTGAATTGTTTCTGCAGATCCAGACTAGACGGCCTTGGCTTTTTGGCAGCCATTTTATATTATTTTTGCTGAGCTACAGTAAAATAAAATTCCTAGTTGATCTCTATAAGTGTATTCCCTTCCTATGTCTGCGTGGTTGATGGCTTTAACCAAAAATGCTAAATTTTACATTTATTTATATAAACTTTTCTTTCTTTCTTTTTTTTTTTTTTGGGACTGAGTCTCGCTCTGTCGCCCAGGCTGGAGTGCAGAGGCACCATCTCGGTTCACTGCAAGCTCCGCCTCCCGGGTTCACGCCATTCTCCTGCCTCAGCCTCCCTAGTAGCTGGGACTCCAGGCGCCCGCCACCACGCCCGGCTAATTTTTGTATTTTTAGTAGAGACGGGGTTTCACTATGTTGGCCAGGATGGTCTCGAACTCTTGACCTTGTGTTCCGCCCACCTCGGCCTCCCAAAGTGCTGGGATTACAGGCGTGAGCCACCGCACCCGGCCACTTTTATATATTTTGTTTTGAAACACAGTAATAGCCTCTACTCAGAGGTTTTTGATTGTTGATTGTGTCATCTTGCTTCTCGGTGATCCTGCTCGGTTTTGACTTTTCTAAAAAACATAATGAACACTCCTAGCCTTAACTCATTGATGAAGTCATTAATTTCAAAACAGTGAACAGGAACCTAAATGGGTCATGCTGTACAGTTCTAATCCAAATTACCTGCTCAGTTAGGAAAATATGAGAAGTGACGAGGATATCCAGAAAGCCTTCAACATTCACAAAGGTGAAGCTGCAGTGCCTGAGGAAATTCTCAAAGGAGGGAAGGAGGAAAGCGTTCTCCGATCAGTCTCTGATCTTACCACGAGCAAGGCGTCCTTACGTCTTCTCTCTCGCATACTCCTGCCTGCCTTGTGTCTAAGAAGGCGGGCTGTGGCCGGAAGGGATGAGTGGGATTGTGGGGAAGGTGGGTTAAAGCAAGAGGACCCCAAAGGAAAAGCAGCTCTGCAGCTGACGGCGGATGCTTTGCCGAGTGTTACCACCAGGTGGTGCTGTCCCCCTGCCGAACATAATTCAGAACAGCAGCATCGGATCAGGGCTCTCCAGGACCTGACCATGTGACACGAGACCATTCTGCAATTTTGTCTGAATATGGAGATATGGTGGGCGGAATCATGCCTCCCAAAGATAACATCCTAATTCTCAGGACCTGAGAGCGCGTCACCTTCCTTGGCAAGAGGGGCTTTACAGATGTGATTAAGATAATAGGGGAATTCTCCTGGATTCCCTGGGTGGGTCTCAGGTCCCCACCAGGGTCTTTATAGGAGGGAGGCAAGAGGGTCGCAGTGGAGAGAAGATGTGACAACGGAAGCAGAAGTTAGAGTGACGTGAGGAAGGGCCCAAGGAACGCAGGAGACTCTTAGAAGCTGAGAAAGGCAAGGAAACAGATTCTCCTCTCAGAGCCTGCGGAAGGCACCAGCCTTTCTGATTGACTTCAGCCGTTTGCGCTGACTTTGCACTTCTGGCCTCTGGAACTGTGAGATAGTAAATGCATGTTGTTTTAAGTCCTTAAGTTTGTGGCAATTTGTTACAGCAACACTGGGAAACTAATACAAGAAATTAAAAAATAACAGACCTTGTACAACCCAAAACCAAAACATCTCTTTCTCCCGGCAATTTCTTCAATAACAACGTTAGTGTTCTCCATTCTTCCTGCCTCCCAGATGAAATGCATTAAGAGGCCCAATAACTGAATTAGCCCTGCTTTTCTGAGAGCACCCAGTTGATTAGAGACACCTGCTTCCTTGAACCCTCCCCACCATAAGCCTGATTCCTAAAATAAGCCCTTCCTGACTCTTAGAGCCACCCCGTCATTCTCTAAGGTATATGGGTCCCTTTGCGTCAATTATCAATCAACTCGTTGCTTCCTGGCTCCCAATGCACCCTTCAATATAAGCTCTATGATAAACAATGGAATTCCTTAAAGATTTTGCTTTTAAGGTGAGCACAATGTCAAGCTTTCTCAGTAGCGTGCTCTGGAGGGACACTGCAAGAGGAAGGGGCTTACTGCAATTTCCAGCACAGGCTCGAGGAGGGGGATAGCAGAGGCTCTGCCCAGAGTGCGAGGACATGAGGTGAAGCCTGTCTGAGTCGCAGGCCTTTTAAGAGAACCCTCTGTGACCCTAGCGTCTCAGCCATGGCAACCTGCCCACAGACCTCTGGACGTGTGTCTGAACCGCCCTGGTAGCCCCTCACTCTCACCCCCACCGCCATTGCTATTGCCTGCTCCCCCACCTGCACTCCAGAGGGCAGCCAGCCTGTCGCTCCCCCAGCAATTCCGGACCAGCTCCAGCTTGGCTAAGCAGGGGTCTCTGCTCTCTGCCAGGCAGACACACCTTCTCCAGCAAGGTCCTGAAGGGCTTCAGAACACGCCACCTCCAGATATGCTGGCTTGAGATGGGGACAATTTTGAGCTAAAGGCACTTGAAAAACAACAGATGCGTTGGGCGTGGTGGCTCACGCCTATAATCCCAGCACTTTGGGGGGCAAAGTGGGCGGATCACCTGTGGTCAGGAGTTCGAGACCAGCCTGGCCAACATGGTGAAACCCCATCTCTACTAAAAGACAAAAATTAGCCGGGCATGGTGGTGCACGCCTGTGGTCCCAGCTACTTGAGAGGCTGAAGCAGGAGACTCGCTTGAACCCGGGAGGCAGAGGTTGCAGTGAGCCGAGATGGTGCCACTGCACTCCAGCCTGGGTGAGAGTGAGACTCCATCTCAAAGAAAAAAAGAAAAACAACAGATGCACAAAGGACACTCTGACCTCCCCTTTTCTTCCTGAAAGCAGGAGATGAAACTTTCATATGGAAGATGGCTTCTCTCTACCAGGAAGAAAAGAACATTCTTCTCTCCAGAGGCGGGGAGTTGAGGCCGAGGGAAATCGGTACAAACAAAAAGTGTTTTGACAGTTAAAAAGCTCTTGTTAAAATAACCCTTGTCTTTAGTATCTCCATATAGTTAGTTACTTTTTCAAAATTACTACTTTTTGTTCACCCTGTTGCATAAGCACTTAGGCCTGGCTGCTTTTGGATCTTGGTGTCCTGTGAAGGCCCTCACATGCCTGTAAACATTGGCTTGCGTTTCCTCTGTTAGTCTCTCCTACGTCAACTTAACTCTCAGGCCCAGCTGGAGACTGTCAGAGGAGACAGGGGCAGCTTTGCCTCCATTACGGTCAGACACCCACCGAGGTTGTCCCTGGATGGGCTCCCTCAGCCCTAGGGGGCCACTAGGAAACTGCACGGATTTCCTTACATCTTGGAGTTGCTGTTTGCCATAGTTAATGCTTCTATTTATCACCCCATTTTAACCGACTGTGGTTTCCAGCTCCCGTTTGACTCAAACTGCTAAGCCCTCACTGCAACAAGGGATAAACCCAACTTTGTCCAACTGCAGATATAGTTCTGGTCTTGGCTGGTGGGATTCAATAGTAGGAAAAAGGAGGAAGCACATATTGAGCAACTGCTGTGTACAAGGCTTTGTGCTGATCTTTTAATATGTATTGTCTTATTGAATAGATATTAGATAGGTATGATCTCGTATCTTTGATATTATAAAGTGTCCAGTCACAGAGTAAGTACCAAGGCTGGCACTCTGACTCCAGAGACAAAACGGTGAGCTGCAGGCCACAGTCTCTTGAACTAGCCCAGTCACCTCAATTAGGAGAGGGAGAGGATCAGCTACATTTTAAATATTTACATTTAAAAGAGAAAATACTTTAAATCAGATATAGCGAGAAAAGCTTAACATGAAAAGCCTAAGGAAATGACATATTATATGATTTCACTCGTATTGCCAGGTGGCCACCTCTTTTCAAATGAACCCTGGTGCATTTGCCACGGTTAAGTGTAATAATTTCAAGGTAATTTCTTTGGGGTCCAAGTGAGCTCTTTTGTAGAAATGTATTTTGCTGTACATTTAGCTGGTGGTCATTTCACTGGCAGTTAAGAGGCGATAAGAGATTGTGTAATAGAGGCTCATTAAAATTAAAGACTGTGACTCCATGTACCCCAGGACAACCTTGAGTGAACACTAACTTGTTCAACATTTGCCATGAAGCCATTAGAAGCATACTGATTTAGGCAGGACCTTGTGTCTTACACGTGGAGCTTAAAGCTTTAACGTCTATTCAGGTATTATTTTGCAATATCCATTCATTTCCATTTTTAAGCCACAGTTTGCGTTGGCAGAGTTTGAAGGGATTTCATCAGCCGTTTACGCTTTGGGGATGCAGTGGAGAAGCTAAAGAAGAAATACCTAAATGGCGTGGGTTCTCCTGGACCGGTGGAGGGGCCGGGCCCCATCTCCTGAGATGAAGGACACAATTTCAAGGCAGATCCCGCTTTTTCCATGGCCTAGACAAAGGCCTAGGATTTCTTGCTGTTTTTCCTAATCGTTAATTTTAGGGAATACTTGGAATTAGCTCAGCGATATTGAATTTAGAATATATCATCTTTTTTCTTCAAAATATCATTTTATTCCCAATAAAGTGATTATGGAGAGATTGGCTTTAGGTGTATGACTAAGGAGTTTCTTTTTTTTTTTTTTGAGGCAGGGTCTTATTCTGTCATCCAGGCTAGAGTGCAGTGGCGCAGTCACAGCTCACTGCAGACTCCACTTCTCAGGCTCAAGTGATCCTTCCACCTTAGCCTACCGAGTAGCTGGGACCACAGGTGCATACCACCATGCCTGGCTTTTTTTTTTTTTTTTTTTTTTTTTTTTTTAAGACGGAGTTTTGCTTTTGTTGCCCAAGCTGAAGTGCAGTGGTGTGATCTTGGCTCACTGCAACCTCTGCCTCCCAAGTTCTGGTTCAAGCAGTTCTGCTGCAGTCTCCCAAGTAGCTGGGATTACAGGCACATGCCACCATGCCCAGCTAATTTTTGTATTTTTAGTAGAGATGGGGTTTCACCATGTTGGCCAGGCTGGTCTTGAACTCCTGACCTCGTGATCTGCCTGCCTCAGCCTCCCAAAGTGCTGGGATTACAGGTGTGAGCCACCGTGCCTGGCTGCCTGGCTAATTTTTAAAATTATTTTTAGGAGAGATGGGGTCTCACTATGTTGTCCAGGCTTGTCTCAAATTCCTGGGCTCAAGTGATCCTCCCACCTCAACCTCCCAACATGCTGGGATTGTAGGCCACCACGCCCAGCCTAGAGCATATCATCTGATGAATGTTTTATTTACTCCAAGTTGAAGCCCAAGGCTGAAGATAAGAAGAGGCTGATGCAGATAGACTTCAGGTAGGAGAAACAATTATCAGCTCAACTCGCACCCCTTATCTGTGTCTACCCGTCCTTCTAAACTAGAAATTCCCACAGACTTCAAAGAAGAGAGGGTTTGAAGAGTGGAGACCATCTCTTTCTCCCCATCGGAATCTCCATTCTATGAAGGGTATACACAAGCCTAGGGCCATTTGCAATTGAAAATACGAACAAGCAGGCCTTGACCCCAGTATCAAGGATACGTTCATCTAAATGTTTTCTGCCCCTTCCTAACCCTAGAATCACTTTGTTCCTGATAATGGAGAGGACATGGAGCAAATGTAGATGTGTGGGAGATAAAGAAGTAGGATTAGGTGTGACTCTCCTGCTAGTCCAGGGTTGCAGCTCTGTTCCTGATCCTCCCTTGGTGAGACCGTAACCCTGTGGGTTCAAGGACGCTGCCTCAGTTACCACTCCTGCCCCAGGAGCGTGGCATAACACACGCTTGTTAAACACTGATCAGTGGGCTCAGCAGGTGCAGTGGAAATCCACCTGGTTGTCAGAGCTCCGTGGCTAACACCTCACCTCTGGACTTTCGGCTATTTCTTTCTCTGTAGTGTTATCTAATAAACCTTCCAGTTAATTTACGATCCACATGAAAAGGGCCTGTGATATGCAAGGTGCTCATTTAACATGTGTTAAATGGGTCAGCACTGGCTGAGCCATGTTCGTGTATGTATCTGTATGTAAATCTGTCTGTGTGTGTGTGTGTGTGTGTGTGTTTAAGGTGTGGATTCCTAGCTTTTACTTCCATTAGAACTTCTGTTTGTAGAGGGAGGAATCTCTGTGAATGACTCAGTGGACTGAAGCCCTCATAGCATTTTATTGACATCGAGTTTGAGTGAGTGAGCTTGGCTCCATCCTCCCAGACCACATCGATGGGGAGACTGGCTGATCGTGAATCTGGGACTCCGAATTTTCATGCAAGAGACACTTGCCCCTGCTCTGCTCTGAGAGTCTTGATTTCAGTGCAACTTGTTTTTGGGACCACATTGCTGAGAGCCACAAGCCCATCAGGGTGAGGGTCAGCAGGCCAGCCCCCTCCCAACCTACATTGCCAAGCCCTGCGGCCATCCCTCCAATCCCAAGAACAGCCATGGGTGCAGATGAGAGGACACCATTTGGGAGGCTGACCCATTTAGAGGTCACGTTGTCTACCTTAATTTGTTTTTGGTTGAGCTACTCATAAATCCTGCCGACTTATAGAGATACTCAAGAAGAAGAAAGAGGCCAAGAAACACTCTCCCCTAACAGAACTCTGGAATAAACGAGCAACAGCCATGCTTTTGTCACTGGGTTAGCGATGCATGCCGGTCCTGGAGGTGCCTGGTGTGTTTCACGGCGGATGCCTTTACGAAGGGAAAGTTAACCGAATCCTGCAGGTAACTGCAGATGGATAAGTCAGGGAGCCTTTGCCTCTTTGGGAGAGATTAAATGGCCCTGGGGAGATCAGAGGGGTAGGGGGCATCTTCGTAGAATGGAGAGGCGAGAATGCAGTGCCCTCGCCTAGACCTTGCCCCTGTGCTGTGACCTGACTCTCACACCTGGGGAGGCACTGTGCACTCCCAGGTGTGCTCAGGGCTTTAGACCAGCTGTATCTTTTGCCCAGAATGCTCTTCTGCTGTCCTTTCACCAAATACAATAATCAATTTGTGCTTCTTCTGGGAATTATTCTCTAAACCACTCACTTTATTACCAGTCCCCAGCTGGGCTCAACCACGTTGGAGGACTTTGACTTAATTAATTAATTAACTAATGTATTAATTAATTGTTGGCAAGGCCAGAGGTGGCCTAGCCTAGGGCCAAAGCAGACAGATTTGTCTCCTGAGCCCCCTTTACCTAAGCCTACGCCTGGGTCTGGGGGCTCTCCGGTCCAAGAGCAAGAAAGAAAAACTGGCTGCAAAACTAGAAGAGATCCAGGTGAATCCACTGTGCCTAAGCCTTTCTAGGACAGAAAATCCCCTGCGCATGGGAGCTGGGGCTCTCTCCAAACCCGAATCACCTGACTGTGAGAAGGCAAAAAGAGAAAAGTGGCTGGTTTCAGTATGTGTTTCCTCTTCTCGGTAAGGCACTGTCCTCTATGGAAGGTCATTCAGGGACCCCTTGCAAACCAGCTTCTAGACTTCCAGTGTAAGAGAGGAGAGGTGGCCTGGGGGGATGAGAATGGGGCCAGGAGATGGGCCCTGGCTCTGCCACGTGTTAAATGGATGTTTATCAAGTTAGGAAGCCTTCTTGGACTTCAGTTTCCTCATTTGTAAAGTGAGGAGGTTGAACCAGTTCTGTGAGGTTTCTTTGAAGATGTTCTGCTACCATGGCCCTAAGGAATAGTATTTTCCCATGTCTCTGGGGGCTTTGAGCAGAATCATCTGTGAAGATACAACTCTAGGGTACCACTTGAAGGTGTCTTTTCAGGGCACTATTCAACTTCGACCGGTTTTGGTGATGGATGGAGGGTGGGAGGAAGCGTCCACCTGCCCTGGAAAGGCATCATTCTCTCACTTTCCATTTTGAGATCCAGACCGTATAACAAGTGCCATCTTTGCCGTATGTACTAAAACATCTCGGCAGACTTGGCTCCCGACATTCAGCCATAAGATTGTCAATTTCAGGTTCATTTGGGGATTTTCAGGTAGGGAGGGGCCTCAGAGATGTAGTTTATCACCATCTTTTCACAAACTTAGAAGGGGAAGCAGAATCCCAGGGAGAGGTAGTGATCGTCTCAGATTCCTGGACTGGAAGTGGTAGCATCAGCCTTGAACCAATATTCAACTCACAAGGAACGCAGTTTCCCAGAAATGCTTAAGGCTCGAGAGAGAAAGGATTTAAGAGACAGATCTTTCTTTGTTGTGTAATTTCTGTTTCAGAGATGTCAGGAGGTTTCTCTAATGGCTTGATAAGCAATTTTAAAATGAGAGGTATAATAAGTACTTACTGCTATTGTCATTATGCCATTGTTATTATGGTAATGTAATCAGTAAAATATATCTGCCTCTTAAGGTCTAGAGTAATTGAAATCATACCATATTGATGCAATTAAAAGAATTAGTGAAACTATTAGGTGATTTATGTTTTATATCAAAAATTTCTCAAAATAGTAGGAAGAAAAAATTAGCTTTCACACAGTGATTTACTTTATCTAGACTAATACTCCACCTACTGGAAAAACACTGAATATTATTTAAAGCATAAGATGTTTAAAAAGAAACCAAGCAAACGGATTTTCTATCAATAAGTTCGTATAATTTTTGTAAATGTCAACGGACAGGAGGAGAAATTCTCATTTCACAGCTGATATAGCATTTCTTTAATAGCATTGATTTCAAAGATATTTATAGCACAATGGCTCAAGCACTATATAATTATTTCAGAGAATCTGGTCAGAAAACATGTAGCACTTTTAGTTTTGTGACTTTGACTTGCAAATGAAAATTCAGAAGATGATTGTAAATCATTAAAAACAATATCTGAACTAGTCTTCTAGTAAATTTGAAATTTACTAGAAATTTCAAATTTCTTTGAGATGTAGTGTGAGAATAGTTCATGGTTTTATACACTTTCATATTTAGAATCACTTTAGTAACAATCAACTTTAACCGTTACACATAGTGAGTACTTTAGATAATAATTTACATAAAATAATCATGAATTAATTTTATATGGCATTTTTTCCCTGAAGAGCTCGAGGAAAAACACATTTTGATAACTTAGAACATGACTTTCTAGGAGGAAGAAAAACAAACAAATGCGTGGAAAAGGGAGGAAGAAAACAATAAAATTAGGAAGAGTCGCTTTTGAAAATAGATATTAACAAATATGATGCTGCTTAAATTGTATAATGTTATGGTTAAGTTTTTTTTTTTTTTTTTTTTGAGATGGAGTCTTGCTCTGTTGCCCAGGCTGAAGTGCAGTGGCACGATCTTGACTCACTGCAACTTCCGCCTCCTGGGTTCAAGCGATTCTCCTGCCTCAGCCTCCTGAGTAGCTGGGACTACAGGTGCCCGCCACCAAGCCTGGCTAATTTTTTGTATTTTTAGTTGAGACGGGGTTTCACCGTGTTAGCCAGGATGGTCTCGATCTCCTGACCTCGTGATTTGCCCACCTCGGCCTCCCAAAGTGCTGGGATTATAGGTATGAGCCAACGTGCATGGCCTAAGTTTTTAATTAAATAAATGAAAGGAATAAAGAACTTTGAGAATTATTATGAGAAACGATGGAGATATGACAAATATGATTGAGGCTTTTCTTATTTTCGTCTTTATTCCCTTCTGTAATCTTGAATTGTTGAGCACGTTTTCGGGGTTTGATTTGTTTAAATTTGGTTCCTGGTGAATTCCTGGCTGAGTTGTGTGGGGGCGCTTTAATAAGGCCTTCAGTAAAATGAAACTACGACCAGGATAACTGTATTAGCCTGGTGCGGTAAGAGCCGTTGATGTCACATCGTCTGCTTGCCACGGATGGGACTGGTCAGTTTTGAAGTGGGTGGCTACTCTGACTGTTAAATTCTCAAAGCAGGGCCTTTGCTGTAACTGGTACAGAAACAAGGACTTTATTTGAAGATGATCCCCTCACAGAAATGTAGTTCACCCTTAAACAACATGGGCTTGAACTGCACTGCTTACAAGTGGATTTTTTTTTCAACCAAATGCGGATCAAAAATACAGTATTCTTGGGATGCAGGACCTGCGTATATGCAAAGTCGGCCCTTGCTAGATGCAGGTTCCTCAGAGCTGACCACAAGATTTGAGTATGCATGAGGTTTGATGTACTTGGGGGTCCTGAAACCGATACCCCGAGGATATTGTGGGATGACTATATATGATTAGTCAAATCTTGAGAAGCCAGTAGGTTGTCATGTCAGCTGGGGATGTCTGCTGTGTGTGCCCCTGAAGTTACACCTGCCCAGTAGTACACTCATCCCATGGGCCACCCAGAGCACAGATGAATGACTGTCACAGGGTAACTTGGCTGCTGGGGGTGGTGCAGACCCCCTGTGGGAAGAGAGAGGCCTCGGCGTAAGACTCAAATCATCTTGCTGACACCTCCTAACATTATGCAAGGGCTTCCATGTGGTTTTGTGGTCCAGCCACCTTGAGCACTGGGACTGGAGTCCAGCTGATGACGTGCAGATGTTCCCAGCTGGGCTCAAGGCGCTTTAGATTCTTGTTTGGAAAACATGACATGAAACAATGAAGGAATAATATTCTAAGACAATCTACTAAAATTAAATGTAAAATGTTACCCCTAATTCTAAAATATGTAATATGGAGAATAAGTGTCATCATGGTACAGTAGATTGGCAGAGTGGAGGCGTTTTGAAGGAGGAATAATAAACCAAATTTCTCTAAGGGTGTTGAGGTCACTAGCCTCATTGATCTTTAGGATGTGTTTTGGAAAAAAAATGGTAGACGACACCAGCCATGCTGGTCCTTAGGATGTGTTTTGGAAAAGAATGGTAGAAGACAATAGAAGGTAAATGGAAGATACGTTGTGAAGGGCTTTGAATGCTAGGATGCAAAGTTTGGATTGATCTATACAAAACTGGGGTTACAGTTTTTCATCTATCAATCAATATCTATCTATCTATCTATCATCTGTCTATCTATCTATCTATCTATCTATCTATCTATCTATCTATGTATCTATCTATCTCTGTTATTCTGGCATAGGATCACCCCCAAATTCTCATTGTTGTTGTTATTTGTAACCACAACTCCTTTAAAGGGGGTCAAATCCAAGTTTTTGCATCTGTTGAGCACCTGACTACTCTGGGCCAGCAAGCTTGGACCCTGTTTTGGGAAGAGTCAGCTTGTTATTGTATATAATAGTGGGGGAGACCTGGAGATGAGTGAGGAAGCAGGTGGGGAGCCAGGGAGCATGAATCAGGAGAAATCAAAATCCTGGCACTGCCTGGGGTGAAAGCAGAAAGACTGGCACTGCCTGGCGTGAAGGGCTATGAGAAGCCTCTATAGAAGGATGGGTAAAGGAACTATTGAGGGCATGAATATCTACTCTATGACTTGCAGTGATTTGTTAATGTGCTGTGTACCCCTCTCCCCGACCCTGAAATAGTCAATAGAGGCTACTGCTCAGTGAATGCTTTGGGCGGTTGTGTGTTTGTGAACCAAAGGAAGTGCTGAGCTTCATTCTGGGTGGATATTCTCTGGATCAGAGAGATCACCCACAGAAGAAAGCACCTGGAAGCAGAAAGAACCCTTGGAAATCCCAGGGAGGACTTCAGATTTCCATCAGAGAGGAAAGGTTGGTGAAAATTGTGGCTCAAGGTGACCTGATCAAGACCCTAAGGGGCTGACGAATTAGTTCATGTGTAGCTACGTTGGGACTCAAGCACATGTCGGTGTGTCTGGAGAGACCCCAGGATCTCTCTCCTTGAGAAACTGATATTCTTCTTGAGAGAAAGAATGTATTAAGGGATGAAAAGATCTGGATGAAGAAACAGTTCAAAGACATTGGGCAAGAGTAGGGTGATTCTGGGCCTAAATGTAGGAAGAAACTGACATTCAATTCCCAAATTGGAAGTCTGCTCAACCACAGGGCCTGCTAACCTAATCAGGACTATGAGGCATGTATAGGAGAATGTGTATTGAAGACAGAGAGAACATGAAAATGGCCTGGAGGAGAACTTTGCTTGGTTATCTGAACCCAAGAGGTAAAGAAGATGGATTCTGACTGTGCCCTACAGGCTCCTGTGTTGGTGGCTGTGGTACGTATATGGAACTGGGGCTACAGCATGGCTGGGAACTTCTGCAGAATGAGGCAAGGCTGCACACTCCTCCAAGCAATGTAGCATAATCATACCCTTGGCATTTAGGAAGAACATGTGACTGGATCATCCAATAGGATCACCAATGCCTGAGGCTGCTGCTTAGAATTGAAAATGTCCAGGAATAGGGAACCTGCTGGAGCCACCATTTGTGTACTTTGGGCCAAGAGAAAGCTAGCTAGAAGAGCAGTGATGAGAACTGAGGAGAGAAGGGCATTCATGTAAGGAGGAGGGTTTTTATGTTTTCCTTCTCCCTTCTTTTCATCAAACATGCAATTAGAGTTGGGAGCATTGAGCCCAAACCCCAGATAAGGCAGAGGGACTGGAGATTGAGTTCACCTTTGTGGCCAATGATTCAATCAACCAAGCCTGTGTAATGAAACCTCTAAAAAAAACTTTGGACACCGAAGCTCAGTAAATGTCCCTGGTTTGTAATACTCTGGGCATTGTCACACACTGATGTGCAGGGAGGGTAGTGTGTCCTTAGGACAAAGAAGCTTTGCATTTGGGACAAATCTTGCCACCTGCATCTCTCCCTTTGGCCGGTCTGGATTGTATCCTTTATAGTAAAACTTGATCATAAGTATAGTGCTTTCCCGAGTTCTGCAAATCATTCTAGCAAATTATTGACCTGAGGGAGTAGTGGGAACCTCTGAATTTGTAGCCAGCTGCTTGTAAATGAGGGTCACCTGGAGACCCCTGGGCTTGCAGCTGGGGTTTGACGTGAGACCAGTCTTGTGGAGGACTGTGCCCTTGGAGCTGTAAAGTTTGGCCTAACTCCAAGTAGTTGGTTCTAGAAGTCTTTGCAGAGAGTGAGGTAATAATAGAACAAGGGTTAAAAAATAAATATGGGCTGAGCATGGTGGTGCACACCTGTCATCTCAGCACTTTGGGAGGCTGAGGCAGGAGGATTGCTTGAGCCTAGGAGTTCAAGATTGCAGTGAGCTGTGATTGTGTGACTGCACTCCAGTCTGCATGACAGAGTGAGACTCCGACTCTAAACAGAGCAGAAAAAACAAAGCAAAACAAAAATATGAATAGATTTGAACCTGTGGCTATAATAAGTAAAATGAGGCCGGGTACGGTGGTTCACTCCTGTAATCCCAGCACTTTGGGAAGAAGCAGGATAGAGGTGAGGACAGGACAGACCCCGATCTCTCGTGCCTCCCCCTGTGTTTTCCTGCAGTGTTCTGCTAGCTGAACCCAACCATAATCTGGTGGCCAGGGAGCTGAAGATGTCAATCTGCAGGGGCAGAGAAAAGAGGATGATGGAGCAGTGTTGCTGCAGAATGCCTGGCACTGGCTGGGTGGGAAGAAAGGGGCCTCCGAGTGCATCGTGTGGGAAGGAATCTGTAGTCACATCACAGGTCCGTTTATTCATTCAAGAAACGTTTGTCAAGTGCCCATAAGGTGCCTTGAACTGACTGTTCTAGGTACTTAGGATACATCAGTGAACAAAAAGCCCCAAATCCTAACCCTCATATCGCTTCCTTCCTAGTATAGAGAGACACAGAGAAAAAGTAAATGATGTAATATGGTAGGAGGGGATAAATTCGAAGTCTTTTCCCTCAAATTAGAGCCCAATAAGAGGCCTGGTGTAAAAGTCAGACTGCAACCCTAAATAAGGCGGTCAGGGTAGCCTCACTGAGAAAAGGAGATTCAATGAAGACTTGAGGGATTCGAGGGGTTAGCCCTGCAGAAACCCAGGGAAAGAACACTCAGGCAGAGAGAGCAGCCAAGGCGGGAGAATTCCCGGCATGAAGCCAGTGAGGCTCAAGTAGCATGAAAAGGGGAGGGTCACGGGGCTAGTTCCTGTGGAGTCCTGCAGGTCACTGGAAAGACTTTGGCTTGTCCTCAGAGAAACGAGGACTGTCAGTGGGTGTTGAGCAGAGAACTCGTACTTTAAACAGATGGGGTAGTGATGTCAGAGACGCTCCTGCAAGGGCAAGGGAGGAAGCTTGGAGACCCGTCAGGAGGCCTCTGCAGAACAGGATGGAGTCTGGAGCCCGAGCAGCAGATGTGCAAGGTGGGAGGCTGGTCAGAATTTGGATGTTTTCAGGGTAGAACCAGCATGAGGTTCTGAAAAACCGGATGTGAGCTGTGAGAACCAGTGAGTGATGTTCTAGTGATATTCCAAGGTTTTAATCCTGACCAGCTGGAAGGATGGAGTTGCCATCAGCTGAAATTGGAAAGGCTATAAGCAGGGCAGGTTGTGGGAAGGGGCAGATCAGGAGGTCAGATTTGGAGATATTGTGTTCGGAGTGTTTATCAGACATCAAGAATCAGTTAGATATCTGGGAGTCAGTTTGGTGTGTGAGTCGGCAGTTCATGGCGAGGTTTGGGTTGAGATAATAATTTGGAGTTTGAGGCACAGAGATAAAATTTAAGAGCACGACATTGGATGAGATCATCACAGGAGTGAATACAAATGGTAAAGCACTGGAAGCACGCCCACTGAAGGAGGTCAGGAAGGAGAGAAACAGTGAAGGAGACAGAGCAAAAGGGGCCCATGAGGGAGAAGGAGGACAGGAGCAGTGTTCCCTAAAAGCCAAGGGCTCCCTGGTTTCAGATGCTGCCTTTAAGTGGAGCAGCAGGAGAACTGTGAAGTAGCCAGTGGGTTTGGTGGTGAGAAGGTCATTGATAGTATCCATAAGAGTAGCTTTAAGCAGTGGTGGACAGCAGCCCAGCTGGGATTGGGAATAAGAAAAAATGAGGATAAAATATTCACAGTACATGCATCTGGCAAAGGAGTTGTATCCAGAATACGTAAAGAATCCTTATAACATAATAATAAGGCAAACAATCCAATTTTAAAAAGGGGCCAAAGGCTTGAACAGACACTTCACGAAAGAAGATTTACCAGTGGTCAATAAGCACTTGAAAAGTCGCTAAACATCATCAGTCATCAGGGAAATGAAAATTAAACCCAAAATGAGATACTACCACACACCAGTTGAATGGCTATAATTAAAAAGACTGACAATATCAAGTGCTAGTGACTACGTGGAGTCACTGGAATTCTGCTGTCTTCCTAGAGGGAATATTACATCAAAAAACAGTTAAAGATACACTTACCATAAACTCATTGATTTCATTCCTAGATATTTACTTGAAAGAAATAAAAAAAAGTCTGCTCTATACATGTGTATGCAAATGTTCCTAACAGGTGTAGTCATAATATCCCCAAAATGATCCACATATCCATCAAGAGGTGAATGAATAAATGCATGGGGGTATATTCATAAGTGTATTACCACCCAGCAATTAAAAAAACAACCACAGATACACACGACAAGAAGAAGGAACCTCAGAATCATTATGCAGAATGAAAGGAGCTGGACATTTGTTTAAAATTATAGAACAAGTAGGCCGGGCGTGGTAGCTCACGCCTGTAATCCCAGCACTTTGGAAGGCCGAGGCAGGCAGATCATGAGGTCAGGAGTTCAAGACCAGCCTGGTCAACATAGTGAAACCTCATCTCTACTAAAAATACAAAAATTAGCCGGGTGTAGTGCCATGTGCCTGTAGTCCCAGCTACTTGGGAGGCTGAGGCAGGAGAATCATTTGAATCTGGGAGGTGGAGGTTGCAGTGAACTGAGACTGTGCCATTGCACTCCAGCCTAGATGACAGGGCGGGACTCTGTCTCAAAAAAAAAAAAATTATAGAACAGGTAAAACTAATCTGTGACTTTATAGAAATAGAAATTTGATCAGTAAATGCTTGGGGGCAATGGTGGGTGGGAAAGGGGCCCAGGGGAACCTTCTGGGATATTAGAAATATTCCAAATTTTGAGTGTGGTGGTGGCTACATGGGTGTGCACGTCTGTCAAAACTCATCAGTCTGTACATTTAAAGTGTGTAAATTTCATTGCATGCAATTTACATTTCAGTAAAGTTGACTGAAGAAAGAGGCTGAGCATGGTGGTTCACACCTGTAATCCCAGCACTTTGGGAGGCTGAGGTGGGCAGATTGCTTGAGGTCAGGGGTCCGAGACCAGCCTGGCCAGCATGATGAAACTTCATCTCTACTAAAAATACAAAAATTAGCCAGGCGTGGTGGCACACACCTGTAATTCCAGCTACTGGGGAGGCTGAGGCAGGAGAATCGCTTGAACCTGGGAGGTGGAGGTAGCAGTGAGCTGAGATTGCACAACTACACTCCAGCCTGGGCGACAGAGTGGGACTCTATCTCCAAAAAAATAAATAAATAAATAAATAAATAAATAAATAAATAAATAGAGAGAGAGAGAGAGAGAGAGAGAGAGAGAATGGGAGAAGCTGACCCGAAACAGCAAGCATAGATAACTATTGCCGGGCGTTTTATTGCAAAGAAAAACAAAGATGTGGGGAAAGTGGTCTCAGGAGAAATTTTTGTTTTAAAGTAAGAGAAATATCTGCATGCTTATTTGCTGATGGGAATGAGTCAGTAGAGAACGAAGACAGAGAACTGCTCAGCAATGCCCTGGAGTAAGCAAGACGGGTTTGGTGGAGAAGGGTCGAGGGCTGATTTTAAATGGGACTCACAAGCAAACCTGATTTTCCTCTGTGTTCTCTTCTGTACTTTCTATAATAAATATATTTAAATGTATAATTAGAAAAACACAATAAATGGTATTTTAAGAAGAAAAATAGCATGTTTTCCATAACTAGTAATATAAGCAGAGACTGGTCAAGGGTTGGACTCATGGCCAATAAGGACCAATCTGATTCTAAAATTATTCTAAGTACATATTACCACTAAGGTTTATAGTTTGTATTATAGTTTTTAAGGAAGAACTTGAAGAGGTTTGTGTCAATCATTTTTGTTTTCTTATCCAGAGAAAGAGGGAGAAAAGGATATTAATGCGTTCTACCTCTGGGGAAACTGAGGCACACACAAAGAGGTTTGTGTCTAATCCATGGCCACAGAATTGGTAGTAAACATTCAATTGAATACAAATAACTATGTTCAAGATACCACGCTCAGCAAGGATAGAAAGAAAATTTCCTGACTCCCTGTGAGTCTAGAACTTCCCTTCACTGTAGCCTAATCTTGTGTTTATTTTTAAATAAATGAAACTGCACTTTCTACCACTGAGTCATTCCCCTAACTCAGGGAGCTAATGGCTTTCCTAAGTAAATGACATTCATTGATCAATAAGTCTTTGCTGGATGATGTTTTAAAATACTGAGAGAAAATTTAAATGCAGTATGTCTAATCAGACTAAAGTTAAGGGCTTTATGGGTCTAAACCTAGTAATGAAACAGCGTTTTCTTCTTTATTGGCTGGTCTCCTAGTTTTATAGGTTTGCTCAAATTGTGATTGTGGAATGATTCTCGTATGTGGGGTGTTTAAGTAAAGCAACCCCAGTTGCTTTTACTTTATTGATCTTTTTAATGCACCAGCTTCAGTATTTAAATGAGTTTGAGTTTGTTTCTTTAATGGTCTTTCAATAAAGCTTAAGTTGACCCGGTTGCTTTTGCAATCACAGCACTGTAACAGCAGAAAAAGAATAATAATAAAAATGAACTCATTTTATGTGGTTGAAAAGGTTACATTTCTATTGATTTTAACTGTAATATAGTTAAAGTCCTTGATATTAAAGAAAACAACGTAGCAGACACATCCTTTTTAGTACGGTGGCTCTATTGATATTACTTTACCAGTAGGTTTTGGCAGCAATAACAATATTCAGGATGGAGTCGAAACATTGGCATCATCAGAGGACTGATAACCACATCCTTCAAATTCTTTTCCAGGTGAAAGAGCAGAAAGGTGTATCAGGAAGATCATTACATAGAGAGTGACTTCAGAATGTGGGGGAATGCCTGAAAGTTCCATTTAACGACCAGTTCTGCCAGTTTATGGAAAGCAGCAATGCTCTGTTCCCTGGAAACACTGAAGCTTTTTAATGCTATGTTTGGAGCTCGTTCCAGAAGTAGAAGGTGGAGAGGGATGGGAGAATTCAGTAGAAATGGTGAGGAATGGAGACTAGAAAAGACCAGGGGAAGTGAAGGGAGATGATGGACATTCGCTTCTTTTGTGACCCGGCCCTGTACGAGTGCTCATTGTGTGCACTGAGTGTGTGTGTGTGTGTACCCATGTGCATTAAGGCTCTAACACAATTGGCTGAGCTGAATTCTCAGTACAGAAGCCTATTAAATTTGGATTTGGACTTGGATTGTGTGTTCAAATC
Source organism: Homo sapiens (assembly GCF_000001405.40). NCBI lineage: Eukaryota > Metazoa > Chordata > Mammalia > Primates > Hominidae > Homo > Homo sapiens. Next base: position 30,814 of record NT_187564.1, on the reverse strand, counting down.
TACTCGAGAGAAAGCTTGGGGGAGTCTGCAGACCTTGAACCTCATGGTGACCCTGAGCCCGCTCTATCTTGCTCAAATCCCAGCTCTTCTTCCGTCAATCTTCCAGAGAGGTTTAGTTCCTGGCATTCTGCCTGGGTTCCCTTGGCAATCTCGGGAAGAAAGAAAATGCTGCTGAAAGGATTTGGGAGAAGGAAGAGCAGCGCGCAGAATATGCCAGCAGCAGGAAAAACATCTGGTCCTCCCCTTCATCCTCCTCCACATCAGCATCTAACATTTCCTGGAGGCGAACTGCAGGTGGGATCCCACCATAAGTACTTTACACATATTATTTTTTTAATTGCACACAACTCTGTCGGCACATACTCTTATTCGCCCCATGTTACAGTTGAGGAAACTGAGGCACAGAGATTAAGTTACTGTGTCTAGAGGACACATAGTTGCTGAGTAGCTAGCCCAGAGGTCTGTGGGCTTGCAGAGGCCAAGCTCCTCCATGTGCCAACCTGTATCCTTTGCCATAGAAGAGCAAGGCTGGCATCATGCCCACAGGAAATGCACAAGACAACCCAGTTGTTATTCCAAATTCTTCTCTAAAAGTATTCTCAATCAACTCCAGTCCAAAATTGCTTTTCATAAAAAATACTAGTAAATATAAATACAAAAGGTACAATTAGTAAAAAAATACAAATGCATATTCTGATTTTATTGGTTTTATTTTTTCAAAATCTATAAATCATATTACTATTAAATATAGACTACTATATGTAATCTATAATATCCTTATAATGTCCTATTAAAATGTTATATTAGATTAAAAAAAAAGGCAACAGCCTGGCATGGTGGCTCATGCCTGTAACCCCTGCACTTTGGGAAGCTGAGGTGGGCAGATTGCCTGAGCTCAGGAGTTTGAGACCAGCCTAGGCAACATGGTGAAACCCCATCTCTACAAAAAATACAAAAATTAGCCGGGTGTGGTGGCTCATGCCTGTGGTCCCAGCTACTCGGGAGGCTGAGGCAGGAGGATCGCTTGAGCCCAGGAGGCGGAGGCTGCAGTGAGCTGAGATCATGCCACTACACTCCAGCCTGGGGGACAGAGTGAAACCCTGTATTGAAAAAAAAAAAAACCCAAAACACACACACACAAAACCCCCAAAAAGGCAACATCAAAAACCCTAACAAATCCTAGTAATTAAAACATAAATATAATCCAAAACATATTTTCCAATGAATAAATAAATATACACACTGGGCTCAATACTCATTCCTTACAACTACAACTAAAGATTACCAACCTTCCTAAAAAACAGCCTTCTCAGCTACATAACACAATCAATATTGTTTTTATAAATATGGCCAGAGTTAATTTGTGACCTAAAGAGAGAACTTGTGAGACAAAATCACATACATAAGCAGCTAAGTTTGCTTGTCTCTGTGCCAACATAATTTCACAAAGCCCCAACTCTGTGATGACATACAGCTCTCCAAAACGACAAAATAAAACAGAACACCTGGCCCCCATCTCTCCTACCTAAGTCACTATATTCCTTAAAAGACAAATGAACCTAGTCCTTACCTTCTCCTACGCATAAAATAACATCTGGGGAGATTAGTGATGACACTTCTATAATCTAGAACCAGATATACCCTTACACCCAAACCTTAACGTAGTTCTACTTTAATATAATGTCTAAACAAGTTTCATATAACTTTGCACATGCTAAACCCCTAGCACCTATATATACACAGTGGGCTAAAATACTGTGCTGGCGCAGTCTCATAAAACCTCTGTAAAAGACTGCTTGTGGGTTGTAGGCCTCAGTCTACAGTCCCCAATAAGACTTCTAAATAAAACCAACTTTAATTCTTCAAAAGTTTTTTTTTTCTTTTTTCTTTTTTTTTTGTCTTTAGTTGACATTACATTTCCTTTTATCCATTGATATGGTTTGGCTGTGTCTCTACCCAAATCTCATTTTGAATTCCCAAGTGTTGTGGGAGAGACCTGGTGGGAAGTAATCGAATCATGGGGGCCAGTCTTTCTCATGCTGTTCTTGTGATAGTGAATAAGTCTCACGAGATCTGACGGGTTTAAAAAGAGGCATTCCCCTCCACAAGCGCTCTCTCTCTTGCCTGCCTCCATCCACGTAAGATGTGACTTGCTCCTCCTTGCCTTCCACCATGATTGTGAGACTTCCCCAGCCATGTGGAACCGTGACTTTTCCATTAAACCCTTTTCTTTTGTAAATTACGCAGTCTCAGGTACGTCTTTATCAGCAGCGTGAAAATGGACTAATACGTCAACTTTCTGATTTGTACAGCCTCTGTCCCCTCTGCTAGCAGGACAGGTTCTCAGAGATGGTCAGGATGTTGGAGGCTACTGCCCCTGTGCATTTGTGGTGTTCCACTGTTGGGGTTAAGCACACAAGCCCTGGCAGAAGCTATGATGTTGGTAACCTAGATCCTAATGCCATTTCCCCAGGAGACCAGGAGTCAGATCGGTGGAGTGGGCTGATTTCTACTGTCTGTTCTCACCATGTAACCTCTGCTGGTGGCCCTGGGTGACAATATCAGGAAGGATGCTCGGATAGGATGGCAGCCATTCGCTCATGTGTTTTATTCATTCTCTGACTTCCACTTCTTTTTGGATGTCCTTTCTTCATCTTTTCTCTTGAGCTGCCAGCCCAGACCTTCTCTTCTACCCACAAAGGGGGGGTTTGTTGCCCCTCTCCTTAACATTTTGATTATATTTCCTCAGCTCAAAGATATAAGAGGAAAGGCAATTATTAGCTCACCAAGCGACCACTGGGGAAAGGATGCAAATCAAATATATTTAATACTTCAGAAAGCAGGAAGAATTTGTGCACTTTCAAATAGCCAAGCTCATTGAATGTGCACAGAATCCATGATTCATAAACTGGATTCCTTCACGTATTCAGTCACTCAGTCAACACTTCTTGAAACTCTCGTGTGTGCCCAGGGCTCAGGGACAGAGCAGTGAGATGTGAAAGCGTAAGAAAAATCCCTGGATTGTACCCTTTGAATGCAACGGCAAGCTTCCATTTCTATAAGTAATACCAAGTCCTACCGCCATCGCGGTATCCGCGACAGATGCAAGTAACCCGCGCTATAACCTAGGACTCTGGTTTTGGTCGGTGTTTATAGAAAACCACACCCAAGCCAGTTTCACAAGATTTTCCCTTCCCTACGCTCACTGGTTACAGCTAATGACCACTAGAGGGCATTTTAACACTAGCTCCGAACTCGCTCCAGGACCATGTCCATCAAAATCTTCAGACTCAATCCCAGGACTGACTTCTCCCTGCCTGAGTGGAAGGGCAGCGTGGAACCCTTCAGAACCTCAAACCGCATGTTGAGATACACTTACTTTTCAGACAGAAGATGAATTTAGGTGAGATAAGAACCTGCTTCAGTTACCTGGGCAAGAAACAACCCGCTCTGCCCATTGTGCTAAAAATTTGCTCCAAGAGTTACAATCTTTGAGAGTGATTTTAGTGCACTGCAGATGGATATAACAGTATGATGCTTTGCAGATTGGACTTTAGTTTTCATGCCAGACAAAATAGAAATCCAGGAACCTTATGTTCTTTCTTGAGAGGTGATTTATGTATTTAATGCACTTGGAGGAAAAAAAAGTGAACTCCCAACCTTGGTCTTACAAGCTTTAGCCGTATTCTGGAGAAAGAAAGAGAGGACTGACATCTCAAACCCTAAACTGGATCAGAAATTGCATTGCAACTGCCTTCCCACTGAGCTGCATGAAATGTAAAACGAAGTAAACACATTTTTCTGGAGTGTAGGAATGGAGGTACTGTCTAGCCCTGGAGTGCATAATTCATTTGCAGATGAAATTGCTTTAGAAAACAAATGAAAAATGTGGAAGTGTTGACATATTCATTATGAGTCTTTTTCTGTTTCAGATCAGATGGGCTTGATGGCTTAGAACTTATTTTCTTAACATATTTTCTGTATAATTTTTATGAAGGGCAAATGTTGAATCTCTGTAGTAAAAAATAAATAAGCTAATGTGATCCTCCCCCCTCCACCATGGAAACCTTGAAGGAACAGCTCAAATGCCTTTGTGAGACTGCTCTGATCCACTCTTTCCTCCTCAGGATTATTCATTCCCCTACTTTTCTGTGCTCCCACAGCACAAGCTTATACTTCAATGGGCACTTGGTTCATATCTGTATGACTGATGGTCTTTCTTCTACTGGACTGGGCTCATGGAGGCAACAGCCATGCTGCATGCTGGGAATATACTAGGTGCTGAGAATATGCTTAATGGGTTGAACTACAAATCAATGGAAAGAAACCATAGTCCCAAAGAGCCTGTTGGTACTGATCCTGACATCTGCTATTTTATTTTTTGCTTTTAAGAAAGAGAAGGGAATTGGGAATGAAGGAAGAAAACTACCGTTTTATTGGGTCATAGACTATGCTAGATTTTTTTTTGTATTTCCATTTAACATACACAAACTGCATTAGAAAAGATGGACTTACTCCAATTTTAGAAATTAAGTCAACAGAGATTTCATTAACTTGCTAGAGAACACAGAGCTATTAAGTAAGTGTGATGGTTAATACTGACTGTCAACTTGGTTGAATTGAAGGATGCAAAGTATTGTTCCTGGGTGTGTCTGTGAGGGTGTTGCCAGAGGAGATTACCATTTGAGTCAGTAGACTGGGAAAGGCAGACCCACCCTCAATCTGGGTGGGCACCATCTAATCAGCTGCCAGTGCAGCTAGGATAAAAGCAGGTAGGGGAACGTGGAAGGACTGGACTGGCTGCATCTTCTGGCCTTCATCTTTCTCCCATGCTGGGATGCTTCCTGCCCTCAAACATTGGACTCCAAATTCGTCAGCTTTGGTACTCTTGGACCTTCGACCACAGACTGAAGGCTGTACTGTTGGCTTCCCTACTTTTGAGGTTTTAGGAATCTGACTGGCTTCCTTGGTCCTCAGCTTGTAGACGGTCTACTGTGGGATCTCAGCTTGTGATCGTGTGAGTCAATATTCCTTAATACACTCCCCTTTATATATGCATCTATCCTATTAGTTCTGTCCTGCTAGAGAGCCCTAATATAGTAAGGTAGCCTATCAATAAAGACCCTTTTAAATTTATGTCTTAATAATAACCTCTGAATTCAACAGTTTGTAATCCGTGGGGTCTCTGTTTACACTGACATTGTCCTCAAGGGGAAATCTCGTTACGTGCTGTGTCCTTATCACCACCCCAAACTGCTAATATTCTCTTTTGCTGGATACCCTTTTTATTATTTACATGTTGATAAGGAGACTTGTCAAACTGTCTTCTAGAGGAGAAGTAGGTGGAACAGGTTTCTATTATCTGACAAAATGCCTAGTGACTGGACACATCTTTTCTCCCCTCCCAGAATATAAACTCCTTGAGTTGTAAAAGATACATTTTATTCATCCCTGTATGAGTCACCTACTGTTCCACCAACTCATCATTATCTATCCAAATTTCTTTTATATTGTAGATACTCAGCACATATTTGTTCTCCTCAAAGTTATTTTGATTAAAGTGGAATCAATTTTAATTGCATTCCACATCAGTAAATGGCCTAATGGAATGGTTTTGGTGACCATCTGGTTTTATCCAAATCAGGCTTCAGAAACGATTGCTGTTTGGAACTTTCTCACCATGTGGTGGGTTTAGTGGTAGGCAGGGGTAAGAGAGAATGTCAATTAGATATCATCATGTTAAATTCTTAGGGACCCCATGTGGCTTTAAGTAGAAGAGAAGTACATTGATAACAGAAGAGTCCTGGACATCTTGAGAACCTTCTGTCTTCTTCAGCAGGATCTTCACCACACGCCTCCACCACACTCCTAGGAACCATGTCCTTGCATACGGGCTGGCCAGACCTCTCAGTGTGGAGGTGGCCTGAGTTTAAAACTTCAAGCTGGTTTGAAGGTACTGGGAGGGAGAGGAATCTGAGGCTCTGGTAGTTGGGCATCTTGTTTCCTCTTTTCAGAAACATTTTGTCAAATACTGCTACTTTCTGAACCAAATAATGAAAACGTGCTCAAATACTTTCTCAGGGGCCGAGGAGCCATAGCTCAACCCAAAACCAGAGGCGACATTACAAAAGCTAATGAGGTCATGAGGTTTTTGATGTGTCTCTCAATCATGAACAGGCTTCTCTGGATACATAGAAATATAGAAGAAAAAATGAATTCTGACTCATATACAGACCAAATTAATGGGCAACTTCCCAATATATGTAGCCCTCTCTCTTCTCTTCCCATAGATCTTCTATATCAGTTCAATAGACTCAAACCATTGTAATACTATCAGAAACTAATAAAATATTGGCCTATGCTCTCCATAGAATTATACATGTCAGTCGTTCATTAAAGTGGAAAGTTAAGTGCTAATACACTTGCTAAGAATCCCAATAGAGAGCCAGTGCTATAATAGGTAAAAGTTCTTCTGGAAGGGAAGAAGCCAGAGTGTTCAAATGGCTCATCATTATTCTTGCAATTGCCTGCCTTCTGTCAAGCATGCTTGTATTGCACAACCCAGGCTGTGAGTTTATCATCCAGAGTAGATAAAAACTAAATTAGCCAAAGGGAAGGAGTTACAGTAAATGTAATTTCAAGAGCAGTGCCCTAGGCTAGCTAGGTCAACTTTCTTTATTTGTTCTGACATCCCTAAAAAATTTAGTGCTTCCAAACTGTGTTATTTTCCTTAATAAAGGCATGAACAACTTCTGATAGTAAAATTTTTAGGAGTGTTTACATCCATATGCTTGTTAGTATTGTTCTTTATTGGCAGAAAGTTCAAGGGTAATAAAGGCACACATTTTTAAATAATTTATTTGAGCTTCAGTATCTAATTTCAGTCTGGGCTCCATGTTTCTACAGAAAAGAAGGATCCTAAAATGGACAGACAAGAGGTTATGTTCATATTTACTTAAAGAATGAGATGGAATTTTTATGGGTGTATGATACTGTGTGCTGTAAAAACACTAGCCTTAACGTTGGACCTTGTAGTTCTCTTTGATTATAAAAATTAGGGTTTTATGACCCCCTACGAAACGCTATAAAGTCATTGCTTTTAGTGACTCCAAAGAAAACACAAATCCTCAAAAGACTTAATTTTGCGTAAACATTTTTAAAAAATTTCAAAAGTTTATAAGGCAAATGAACAGGAGTGAGCTTGCTTCTCTTGCCCACTTGCAAAGACAACAAAGAGCAAACTAAGTGGGGAAACGGGGTCTGGTTAGCTGGGTTCTAGAGAAGATCATGTCTCTTGTGAGCACTGGGACCTTATTCATCATTGGGACTTCTTTTTTTTTGAGATGGAGTTTCGCTCTGTCACCAGGCTGGAGTGCAGTGGCACGATCTCAGCTCACTGCAACCTCTGCCTCCCGGGTTCAAGCGATTCTCCTGTCTCAGCCCCCTGAGTAGCTGGGACTACAGGCGTGCACCCCCATGTCCAGCTAATTTTTGTATTTTTAGTAGAGATGGGGTTTCACCATGTTGGTCAGGATGGTCTCGATCTCTTGACATCATGATCCACCCGCCTCGGCCTCCCGAAGTGCTGGGATTACAGGCGTGAGCCACCGCGCCTGGCCTGGGACTTCTTAATCTCTGTTTTCTCATGTATATAATGGGACTAATAGCACCAGCTATTTCCAGTTCATAAGGCTGAGAATGGCAATGTGGGCAAGCATTTCGATATGTAAGAAAGGGCTTTGAGCACTACCTAACATGATCATTAAGGCCCTCTCAAGTCTACAGAGATTTTTCTCTGGGCTTGAGGAGGTTATGTGAAAGTCCTTACAATTGTACACTTTTCCACATATAGAAAGTGGTGAACTAGGGCTCCCCCGGCCACCAATGTTTCACGTCAATTAACATTTGGTGCTGCCCTAGGAGTCCATAATTGAATTACTCTCATTTTGCTGCTGATAAAATTCTTCCAACAATTTTTGACACCACTCTGCATGTGCCTCAGACTACTGACTTTACAGCATTCAATATTCATAAATGACTTCAGACCATTTGATGTTACATATTTCAGAGTGAGAATTTCTCCAGGTAAGACTTTTTACTGAGTCTTCTCCAGTGGTCTTTTCTATTCATGAGATAGAGACAGGATGAAATCTATGAAATAGTCACTCTGCTAGCATCTTTGTTTAACATCATGTTCTCTTTTGGAACACACATCTTCCCTCTCCTTCTCCCTCTTCCATAATAAATATTCTTCCATGTCCTCTCTTGCCCCCCATTCACAGGTTAACATCTTATCCTTCCTTCAAAGCCTTATAGTTATAGCATAGAACCACAATGTCTTTTACTCTATTATTTTTGGACATTAGTACAAACACCTTTTTTATCAGCCTATTTATATATTGCTTACGATTTCCAACTAGAAATCATTTTACTATTATGTGGGAAAGAAAGTTATTTGTATTAAGCCTCTGATTTTTTGTTATAGCAGCGAATACAACCCTAACGAATACATACATTGGTATCTTAAGGCAGGGTGCTGCTATAACAGAAACCTAACACATGTAGCATTGGCTTTGTGGTAAGGTGGCAGGTGGTGCAGGAATGAATATTAGGGACTTGAAAGACAGAGGAAGAATGGTATGTGATATGGTTTGGATATGTGTCCCTGCTCAAATCTCATGTTGAGTTGTAATTCCCAGTGTCCAAAATGAGGTCATGGTGGGAGTTGATGGGATCATGGAAGCAGAGCTCTATGAACGGTTTAGCACCACCCTCTTGGTGCTGTTCTCCTGATAATATGTGAGTTCTCATGAGATCTGGTTGTTTGAAAGTGCGTAGCACCTTCACTCTCTCTCAGTCCTGCTCCTGCCATGTAAGACAAGCCTACTTTCCCTTTGCTGTCTGCCATCTAAGCTTCCTGAGGTCTCCCCAGAAGCAGAAGCTGCTATGCGTCTTGTACAGCCTGCAGAACTGTGAGCCAACTAAACCTTTTTTTTCTTTATGAATTACTCAGTCTCAGGTATTTCTTTATAGCAGTGCAAGACAGACTAATATAGTATGCAATAAAATATTTTGTAAAACTGTCACCTCACATAACCTGGAAGGCAGACTAAATGCCTAAGTAGCTTTAAGGAAAGTTCTTCAAAAGAGACAGAATGGTCGTGTGTGTCAGTTGCTTTTTGCTCCTCATGTCATGGAGCAGATGAGTTCAGGAAAGAATTGACCAGTTCCCAATAATCAATGAAAAGAATAGAAAAAAGTCTAGATATTTAGAGCCTTACACTAGAGAGTAAGAAATAACACTGCAAACCGCTTTGACCAACAATGGGGCAGTAAGATTTCTGTTTAGCAAACTGACTTAGCCTCACGGGTAACATTTAAATTAAGGGTCTTTACTTCCCACCCAAGCCTTTTGTGTCCACTGGCCCCAAAGTAGCTGCCATTACCTTGAGAGAGAGAGGCATGGGCGCCTGGAGGCAAATGATTGAGTAAGTCTAAGATTGATGTCTAGGGAAGAGCTTAGGGTGCATTTACCAGCACATGAAACTTACCAGAAGCAAATTGATCAGAAGCCACCTTGGGTTTTGAGGGAATTGTATTGGAAAAGAAAGCACAGATCTAGTCCACAAAAGGCTTATGAGTGTAAAAAACCCTTAGTGTAATTTGAACCTGCAGGAAATGGGCCTTAAAGCTGCACAGCTGTAGCCAGGCGCGGTGGCTCACACCTGTAATTCCAGCACTTTGGGAGGCCAAGGAGGGTGGATCACGAGGTCAGGAGATCGAGACCATCCTGGCTAACACAGTGAAACCCTGTCTCTACTAAAATTACAAAAAATTAGCTGGGCGTGGTGGCACACGCCTGTACTCCCAGCTACTTGGGAGACTGACACAGGAGATTCACTTGAACCCGGGAGGTGGAAGTTGCAATGAGCCAAGATCGTGCCGCTGCACTCCAGCCTGGTGACAGAGCAAGACTCCGTCTCAAAAAAAAAAAAAAAAAAATAATTGCTGCACAGCTGTAAGGAGCACATTATCCGGCACATAATTCAGGGGAGGCCATGGCTGAACACACACAAGGAAGAGCCTCCCAGAGGATGGAGCCCAGGAGGGCTTCAAGAATAATGGACAATAATTTGGCCTAATCCAGGGTTGGGGAAGCAGGGAAGTTGGTGGCAGTGGCAGGTCCTCAGAGTGCCTGCCCAGCACAATTTCATCACTGCTGGAGACCAGAGAACTTTCCTTTTCTGAAAATATATCTGATGTAAGACAGACTTTTATTGGGTTAAAACATGGACATTTGAGGGCTAATTTGTATAGCAACTGGCATCATCCTAATATTTGTATCCTTTCTTCTACTTCTAGCACCTAGCACACTACATGTTGCTAATGTTTTTGACACTTCTCTGACAGTTCTTAAGATTTATATACAGGACCTAGTTCAATTAACAATTGATGCAATTGTTTTTATACAATTTGGTTGAAATTCAGATTAGTAGCAGGTAAGAAATTACCGTGCTTATATTATTTTAAAGAACAGAATTCAGTGATATTTTTGAACATTTGTTTTGAAAATTCCCAGTGAAAATAATCAAAGTCATCCTCTTTTTGGTGTAAGAACTTGGGGATCTAATCATCATTTGTTCCTGAGGACCTAGAATTATTTTCTAAGAAAGGCCTTATTTTGCTTGCAGAAAATCTGTTAGCTTCTTCTTGGCAAAGATAAGATGGCCCTCTAGTTAGATGAAAGCCAAAATGATACATCCTTACCATCTGTTCATTTGATTTGTAGAGAATATGGATTCCGAGTATCTGTGCCAGAGAATATATCCCTGAACTCTCTATTGTCTAACTCACATCTAAACCCAAAAATGTGTGATTGTCATGGATAATTATTCAAAGAACATGTAGTTTATTCATTATCATTTTCCAGCTAGTTTTATCCTAGGATCAGTTCAAAATTTCAGAAAGCTGCATCATCTCAGCCTTTGGCCTCTTCATCTGTCCATCATCCTGCTCTACCTCACTCTCTACAGACTTGTTTGGGCTGAATTCAAAATGGGAAGCTTTACTTTCCCAAGGAGCTTCAGCATCTAACAGCCTTGTAACAAATACATTTGCAGAAATGCTGCTGAGGGCATTGACTCTGACTTTTATTGGGGCCCACTATGTAACCAGGAGGACAACAGACTCTTAATTGTTGCTGTGTTTAAAAAAATCTGAAGAAATAGGGCAAAATGTCGAAATTTGTAATGTTTCAATGGTGGGTACATAGCATATGGTTTATTATTCTCTGTGTTTTTGCATATTTTGAACTATCTTATGGTAATAACAGTAACATCACTTAATTTCTTACCAGCCAGAGGTATCTGCTTCTAAAATTTTGTGAACATCCTTCCAGACATCTGTCTATTAAGCAAGGTTAAGAGCCTGTGTACACTTTGAAGTATGACGGACCTGGGTTCGACTATGCTGTGGCCATTTACCGCTTTCTAACTTTGGGCAGGTTGCATCTTACTTTATGAACTTTAATTTCCACATCTCTAAGATGGTATATTAGTCCATTCTTGCACTGCTATAAAGAACTACCTGAGACTGGGTAATTTATAAAGAAAAGAGGTTTAATTGACTCACAGTTCTACAGGCTGTACAGGAAGCATGGCTGGGGAGACCTCAGGAAACTTACAATCATAGTAGAAGACAAAGGGGTAGCAGGCATGTCTTACATGGCCTGAGAAGGAGGAAGAGGGCAAAGCAGGAGGTGCTACACACTTTTAAACAACCAGACCTCATGAGAACTCACTCACTATCACAAGAACATCTAGGGGGAAATCCACCCCCATGGTCCAATCACCTCCCACCAAGCTCCTCCTTCAACATTGGGGATTATAATTTGACATGAGATTTGGACAGGGACACATTCCAAAACACATCAGATGGGAATAATGATGGCACATACTTCATAAAGTTTTTGTGATGACTAAATGAGAAAATGTGTCTAAAGTGCTTAGCACGTTGCCTTGGACACAGTAAGCACCAATACATGTGAGCTGTTATCGTGTATGTGATGTTGTATAAGTGGAGTATGCTATGGGCATTTTCTATGTCAGTAAATACAATCCATGGAATTAAATAAAATAAAAATGATATAATAACAAAAGGTTCAATTCTCAAGAGGAACTGGCTTAGTTCATCCTTATGGGTTGCATACTTCTGGCTGCCGAGAAGTTCACAGTCAAATTTATCCAAGTGGTAAGACCTTGTGACCTGATAATCATGTTCTATTTTCTCGATCTTGGGGACTTACTTTTTGTGACTTCCATTAACTCTCTATTTCATTTAATATTCTCCCTGTAAACCCCCTTAGATCCCTTGTGCAATGTGGTTGGGAAGAGAGAAAGGAAAAAATAGGAAGGAAAAGAAACATGGATGGCAAGACGGAAGGAAGGAAAGGAAGAAGAAAGGGTTAGTTGCACAAGGCTTTGGAATTGTTGATTAGAATGTTTCGCTTTTGGATTCATGCTAATTGACATAATTTTTCACTGCATGCCAGACTTTTTCAGGTGCTCTCTGGCTGCACCTTGTTTGTTTATATTTTGACTGGCATTAAGCCTTAAGCTATTCTCCCTGATGCGACTGTGAGTTTTCACAAATGATGCCACTGGAGGTATGCCATGGGTTCTGGTTCACGCTGGTGTCTGATAACTACTACAGTCAGTTCCCTGTTATCTATGTGGAGACTGGGTACTTTGTCTTTTGGCAGCAAATGTTTCATCCAAGGTCAGTTTCCCTCAAGTGCTCAGTGCTGTTTCACAGGGTGTGTGCTGAGGGAATGCAGATTAATTTAATGTTAGCTTTAGCCAAACCCAGCTACGAAAGTAAACCTGCTTTTAAAGACACCATAAACACTGATGAGGATCATCTAAATTATATGTTTGAGCATGTATAAATGCATCAACATTCACCTTAATTCCAAAGACATCATTCCACAGCACTGTGATCTACCATTCATCTTTGCATTAGCCTTATTTTTGTTCTTTGACTATAAATAAATAAATATTAATTTGAAATTATTGAAATGCCTTTGTTATCATATGTTATTATAACTGGGGACTACCAGAATAGGTTGAGAATATATGGCTGTTTCATATTTCTGTTTGATTATAAAAATGCAGCATGTGCTTATAATAGAAAATGGGGAAATAGAAAACTCTAGAGGAAATCAAACCATTGATAATCCCTTCACACACAGATGATCACTGTGAACATTTTATTATATCTCTTTCCACACACAGTTGAGGCTGTAGAAGTTCTCAAGATGGATTTTTAGATTGTTTTAAGAAAAAATTGCAGTGTTATTTGGTGTTGCAAAGCACTTTCCGAATTACTTCCACGTCTGCAAGGCCTCCCTGCATGAAAGAAAGTGGGGCATGGGAGTGAGAAGCCCTGGGATCTGCTTTTCCATAAGGAGGAACTACATCTTGTCTTCCTCCACCACCTCTATCTTTACTTTCTTTTTGCCCTCAGTGGTGGGCAGGTCCCAGGGTAGATGGGACAGGCTGGGCTGAGAGATTGGAGCTCCCCAGGCCGTGACATCTTTCCTAGTTGCCCTCACGTGGGTTGGGACATTCAGAAATCTTACTGCAGTCAGTTACATTACATGACAGAGAAGGAGGGAGAGCTGGATCTCCCAACACTTCCAGGTGCAGAACCTAGGGCGGAATCGAGGAAGCACTTCCCAGGTTTTTCTCCTCTCCTACCTCAGAATCGTGCATCCAAAATTTTCACTCCTGTCGTCCTATCTCCTTCCTTTTTCTGGAACTGCATTCTGTTCTTTTGAGGGAGTTTCCCAAGTTCCCCACTCTAATCAAGAGATGTGATTAGGGACTATGGGTCTTTGTTCCCCCTTCCACCCAACAAGGTGAGCACGTGACTCAAACCAGGCCTATCAGAGATTCCCTGGGATTTTAAAATGAGTGTCAAGAAACTAGGACCCCTTCTTCCGGTAACAAAATTGGGAAGACATGAGCCCAGTACTCCTGTGACTATGGCCTAGGATATGTGAAAGATGGAGCATGCAGTAAGAGGTAATTAATCCAGTCTTCAGAGAGAGGCAGAGATGAGAATGAAAAAGAGGGAGGGAAGGAAGGAAGGGAGAGAGAAACCTAGTGGTATTCTAGTCCACAGTTTTAATTCTCCAGGCTCCCTAGATTCTCTTCCCAAAGTTTGGTTTTATCTTTTTCAAATTCTATAATTCTATGACCTACCCTAGGAATTTTCCCCAACAAATTACTTCTGAATTGCTTTTCTATCATTTGCAACCAAAATAGTCTTGGGCAATAGAACCAGACCCTCCCCCAAACCCATTCATCCCCTGGATTCTCTGCAGGTCTCTGGCTGCTCCACTGTCTATATCTCTGGCTTTCTGTGCCTCCAAAGCCCCAAGTCTTAAAAATCATCCACTCCTCTCCCCTTCCTCAAGTCTTTCTCTAATTCACTGTGGCAGAGAGTGAGGGTAAACTGTATACGATTCTATGGCTGTGGTGGGTCTCTGCTGTTATACTGTCTGAAAAGCCATTGTTTAGGTCTTTTTAAGTTTTAGTATTATTTCGCAATGGTAAAATGGCAAGATAAGTCACTTTCTTTAAAAGAGGTGACAAATTGGGTGGCTTAAAATGGAAAAAGTCTCTAATCAAAAGCCGAGGGAGACAATGTTGATGAAATGATGTAAAACGATCTGTCTCCTGGACTTGCTGGCTTTTCTGACTAAAACTTGGTTAAAGATGGGCTTGGTTTACTCCATAAAGAATTTGTCACCCCTAATGTGTGCCAGGTACTGTGCTGGGCTCTGGGACTCTGTCGACCATGATGAGAGAACCTTATTATGCCACCTTTGATTGATGGCGCAGTAAGCTGAAACAGTGCATGTCAGTTTCCTAGGAAAGGCCTCTCCTTAAAATGCCCTCTAGCATTTACTGCTAAAGGCCACGCGCAAACTCCATATCAAGTTATGAATCTGACATCCACCAGTGCTCAAAAGAGATAGGGCTTGTGCCTTTTCTTTGCAACCTGAACTTCCCACAGCATCCAGCCGAATCAGAATGAGGTCTGAGAGGCTGCTGAACCCCTGCCAAATGACACTCCACTTTACTGACAAAACAGCATCCTCCTGCTGTTCTTTCTCCTGACAGGCATCTATTTTGAACTCCTTCTAGAGAATGCAGTGACAGTTCCCATCCTTGATGTCTTGGCCTAGCTCCCAGGGAGACCTCCTCACATTATGTTTTATTCATGGTGTTTCCCAAGCTGGTTTCTTCACTGTAAAAATCAGTGGTGAGGGCCGGGGTCGTCAATGAACCTGAAGTAAAATTTGAGTGTCATAATAAAACCATCCCTTTGTGTGCCGAAAGCCCACAGTCAGAGTCTGAGATTCTGGGGAAAGACTGTTTTGAGGATTTTTAAGACAAAGGCTCTGCAGAGAGAGAGAGAAAAATACAGCTCTTTGTATTGTGTTGGAGCAGTGAAAGAAGTAGGTCGGAGAAACCAAAATAACCTTTGCTGGGAAACACGGTAAGTTTCAGATGTCTGAGAGCTTGGCGAAGAAAGATGGTGCAATGGATAAAAGCAGTAAATTGATAGATATGTGGATCTAGAACTGGGAAAACCAGAAAGACTATACGGAATAAACATTTATTCTATTTCCCCCTAAAAGATGTCTTCAACTTCATCATTGTCTTTCCTTGTCAGAATTATATATATTTCTACTTCACTAGTTATGCACTTGTAGGAGAAAGTGTAAAAAGCATCTCTTCTACTTCTATCCCCTCAAAACAAAACCAATGGCCAAGCATTATAGGGACAGGGACTATAATGCGATATTATATGTAATTTATATGTACATGTATGTATACCTTGAGAAAGATGGTCTTCTCGTGGCGGGTGATGTTGACACTGTGGGGCTGTCCATTGGCCATGTTCCTGTGGTCTACGTCAATATTGTATGGCTCTCGGGTGCCACCCAGGTTGTATCGAATCTGTAAGCTTCCTATAGAAGAAAAAAGAAAGCTCAGTAATTTGTTTGCCCTAAATTTCATTTTAATGTCACATCCCCTCAATTCCTGCTCTTAGATTCTTTCTTTCTTCCTTTCTTTTCTTTTCTTTCTTTTTTTTGACGGAGTCTTGCTCTTGCCCAGGCTGGAGTGCAATGGTGCGATCTTGGCTCACTGCAACCTCTGCCTCCCAGGTTCAAGCGATTCTCCTGCCTCAGCTTCCTGAGTAGCTGGCATTACAGGCACCTGCCACCACGCCTGGCTAATTTTTGTATTTTCAGTAGTGATGGGGGTTTCACCATGCTGGCCAGGCTGGTCTCGAAATTCTGACCTCAGGCTATCCGTTCGCCTCAGCCTCCCAAAGTGCTGGGATTACAGGCGTGAGCCACCATGCCCATCCAATTTCTGTTAAACTTTACTCCCTCCCTTGATGTCCACAGATAACATTCAATATTTGAATTTGGATTCACGAGCTCAGAGGCCTACTGACCCATATCGGCTGACAGCACCAGGCTCGCACATATTTACAATCTGCCCACAGTGAACTTCAGTGACTGTCGTCTCAAAGTTGAAGATGCAAATAGTTTAAATGATCCAAGTTGGGATTATGCCTGGACACAAAGAATGAGAGCATATACAATATAGGACTGCAGGGAGGAGACATCTGCAGGTCCCACGAAACACTATGTGAAATAAAAAAATAAATGCAGAGTGCAGGGATGTTCTCACCCCGTCAGCAAAGTGTGACATTGGGCATATAAAAGAATCATGAGCATACAATATTAAAAATAAACATAGTTTTTTTTTTTTTTTTGAAACAGAGTCTCGCTCTGTCGCCCAGGCTGGAGTGCAGTGGCGCGATCTCGGCTCACTGTAAGCTCCGCCTCCCGGGTTCACGCCATTCTCCTGTCTCAGCATCCCCAGTAGCTGGGACTACAGGCGCACGCTACCACGCTGGGCTAATTTTTTTTTTGGTATTTTTAGTAGAGACGGGGTTTCACCGTATTAGCCAGGATGATCTCGATCTCCGGACCTCGTCATCTGCCAGCCTCAGCCTCCCAAAGTGCTGGGATTACAGGCGTGAGCCGACGCTCCTGGCCAAACATAGTTCTTAAAGATGAGATTTTGGGTGGCCTCATTGAGACCAAGTAATAAATTTTATTTTAGCTTACAGACTAATCAAATGCAAATCAACAGGAAAGATGGCTTTCCCTGGTCCCCTGAGTCCCTTTTTGCCCTCAATGATAGTTCACTTTGCCTCAACAGTATATTCTTTTTTTCCTCCTTGCTTCGTCCCAACAATAAAAAACAATATTGAAAATAACTAATATGACAATGTAGATCCTGCTTTTAGTTAATCTGCAAGCATAAATATTATATCTTAGTTATGAGTTTTAAAGACATCAATATTTTATCTCATTTGTTACTCAAATTGGAATTTTCATGTTGATATCTCAGAGCTTAAAAATGGAGCCAGCAATCTAGCAAGAATTTGACCAACTGCAAATCACCTAATGGATTATTTGTCACCTTTCATTTCCTTTTTAGGGGAACAAAACTGATATTCTGATTTTAAGTTACAAAATAAAACATGCTAATTAAAACATAGAAAGTAAACAGAAAAAAAATAAAAGAAAGTCACCTGAAATCCCACCACCCAAAGATAATTTTTCTAAACATCTTGGGAGTAGCTCCTTCCAGACTTTCACACACACACACACACACACACACACACACACACACACACACACACACACGCTGTGCTCTTCCTTATTTAGGCATCCTAACATTACACTTGCCATGTTCCTGGATTTCAAAGGAACATTTGTTAGAATAATCAAGAGCTAATTACATTTCCTATATTTGTTTTCTAAACGAAATTCAACAAACCTTCACTATTTCTGAGTTTTACCTTAGAATGTCATCCTAGACTCCTTTGCCCCTGGCATTTCAACTAAGCACCGTGGATTGGATTTTCGTCTCCTAAATCTATCTAAATTCCCTCACTCTTTTCCACTTCGGTAACCACAGGCTTTCTGTTGGCACCCACAGTGTCCTTGTGTGAATTCCAGAGGGAGCCTGCTCCCTGGCTGAGGCAGCTCCACACAGAGCTCCTGGTTCATCCTCACCTGTGCTTTACCTGCACCATCTTCTGCCTGGATTGCAGAAGATGGTGGGTCTTAGTCAGCCTCCTCTTTAAAAATTACTGCTCTTGACCTCATTTCACTCTCAAGTGAGGCCTCTTATCCTTTGCTTTTCTTTGCTCCGAACCCCATGAAAAGAGATGGGTACACTTGCTGCCTCCAAACCCGTCCCTATTTTAGCATGAGCCCTCTGTCTCACTTCTGTCTTCCCTGCTCCACGGTCTCTTGCTGGGCCCGTGACCCTTGGGGAAGTAGAGGCAATTGTCCCTCTCAGGCCTCATCTTCACTCGGCACAGAATTCATTCACCTCCCGGGAACACTTGGCTTCCAGCACACACTCTTTCGGTTTTCCTTCTCTACCTGTTTTTCCCCTCGTTTTGGGGCACCTTACTCTTGCAGTCCCCAAAGACCAGCCCTGAAGCATATTCTCTTTTGTATTCAGGCCTGTTTCCATGGTGATCCTGTTACTGAAGGAAAATCCCAAAGGGTCTGCAGCAAACTTGATCCTTGCCTCCTCAGAGGAAAGAATGCGGCTTGAGGGGCAGAAGTAGGTTTAAGGCAGAGGGAGAGACTGCGGCAAGTTTTAGTAGAGCAGGAGTGAAAGTTTATTAAAAAGTTTTAGAAAGGAAGTGCACTTGGAAGAGGGCCAAGCGGGCGACTTGAGAGATCCAAGTGCCCTGTTTGGCCCTTGATTTGGGGTTTTATACATTGGCATAGTTCTGGGGTTTGGTTTCTTCTCCCCTGATTCTTCCCTTGGGGCGGGCTGTCTGCATGCGCAGTGGCCTGCGAGCACGTGGGAGGGGCTGCATGCACAGGTGTTTACTGAAGTAGTGCGCATGCTCATTTGAGGCATTTTTTTTCCCCTTTCCAGTTGAGTGTTCCTAGAGGAAGGTCATATACCCGTTAAACTCCATCATTTTGCCTCTTAGTGTGCATGCTTGGGCCCGCTTGCCCAACTCCTGAGATCTGATTGGGAAGCTGCTGATCACCAGCTCCAGATGTTTTCTATCTATTGGGAGACGGTCGTTCCTTGGTGCCAGCTGCAGCCAATTATCATTTTAGAGAGAGACAGTTTAGCAACTGCCTGACCATCACCTGATGGTTGTCTGACATTCTTGGTGGTTGGTGGGAGGGGGCACCCTCTTCTGCCCTGCTCGTGTGTCTACCTACCTACTCCAACAATCCTATCCTATGTAGGACCTTTGAATAAGGTGTATGCCCATCAGACACCACATTCATACCCTAGTCAGACTTCTCTCTTGAACTCCAGACTCTTTTTTTTTAATAATAGCATATTTTTATTAATAAGCTACAGAAACACCTGTACTTATCAGCAATCTTCAAAATGATATTCCAGTCAAGAAGTGTGAAATTATCATTTGAAAATTAATGAATAAATTCTAGGAGTAGTTTCTTACTAAGAGTGAGTTAAATAACTTTTCAGCACATTCATTTGAGGAGACACAGTGGCATTGAGGAGACTCTTTCACAAACTGTCTACTTGATATTTTCCCTCAGATATCTTACTGGCAACCCCAAACATAACATATGCAACAGAACATCCATCTTCTCTCCCCAAAAGTATTCCATTGCAGTTTTCCACATTTCAGTGAATTGCCAATTCATCCTTCCAGTTATTCTTGCCAAAAGCCTTGACTGTCCTCTTTCTCCTATATGACATGTGTCATCTGACACCAAGTCTTCTTGGCTTGATCTTCAAAATATGCCCTGAATCTTACCACTTGTCGCCATCTCCATCTCTACCCCCTGGACCAAGCCACCAGTGTCTTTTGCTGGGATTATACTAGCTTTTGTCCTTTCTCCAACCTTCCCTGATCCCACTGGGCCTCTGACCCTGAGATACACAGTGTCCTCACCACACGGTGGTCAGAGTGATCCTCTGCTCAAAATCCCAGTAACTCCCCGTCTCAGAGTAAAAATCAAACTTCTTGCAATGGCTCACCAGGCCCCATATGATCTCCTCATTATTGCTGACCTAACCTCCTGTTACTCTCCTCCTTGCTCACTCCTCACCATCCACATTGGCTTCCTGTTCCTACCCAAGGGCCTTTGCAGTCACCGGTTCTTCTGTTCAGGATGCTCATTCCCCAGGTCTCTGCATGGCTATGCCCTCACTCCTTCAGGTCTTTGCTCTCATGTCCTCTTCTCAGTGATCATTTCTGTGACTTCCTCATTAAAAGTGGAATTTACCCTCTCCTTCCCCTTGGCCAGGCCCTCCCTTTTCTGCCTCATATTTTCCCCATAACAGTTCTTAGCACACAACATACTATAGATTGTACCAATTTGTTTATTGTCTGTCTTCTCCTATTCAAAGATAAGCTCCATGAGAGCAAGAATTTTTGTTTCTATTCTTTATGACTATTCCCAATGTCTAGAATAGTGCCTGATGCACAGTAGGAGTGGAATAAATATTTGTTGAATAAATGACTGAATGGTCTCTGATATGGTTTGGCTGTGTCCCTATCCAAATGTCATCTTAAATTGTAGTTCCCATAATCCCCATGTGCCATGGGAGGGACCCAGTGGGAGGTAACTGAATCATGAGGGTGGTTACCTCTGTGCTGTTCTCATGATAGTGACTGAGTTGTGATGAGATCGGATGGTTTTATAAGGGGCCTTTCCCTCCTTTGCTCTGCACTTCTCCCTCCTGCCGCCATGTGAAGAAGGACGTGCTTGCTTCCCCTTCCACCATTACTGTAAGTTTCCTGAGGCCTCCCCAGCCATGCGGAACTGCGAGTCAATGAAAATCTTTCGTTTATAAATTGCCCAGTCTCAGGTATTTCTTCATAGCAGCGTGAGAACAGATGAATACAGTCTCCCTGCTTCTGTACCGTCTTCTTCCCCATGTTTTCAAAATGTGTAACTGATTATTTTATTGGGTCATTTAAAATCCTTCAAAGCCTTCCAATTCTTTACAGAATAAAGATGTACTTTCCAAATAGCGGTTGCAATGCCCTGTCTGATGTGCATTCCTCCTGCTACTTTATTTTCAAGTCATACCACTCACTGTCACTTTTTACATTCAAACTACCACGAACTTCTCTTATTCCCTAGAAAATACGATCTCCTCCTACCTCAGGGCCTTTGAATATGCTGCTCCTACTTCTTGAGCTGCTTCTCTCTCCACCCCTCAGTGTTTACTCGGTTTTTCCTTTACCCAATAGCATTAAAATAGTCCATTGTTTGGGAATGACGGAGATGATCAGGCAGTTGTTTGGCAACACGCAGAAAAAACACGTTGATTGTCTTAGGTTTTTACTCTCTGCCTTATTTCTGGTGCTCTGACATCATATCATCCCAGCCAGTTTTCTTAAATATACAGCTGCCTTGATTCATCTCTTATTCATTTCTTCAGAACACATATATTTAGTTCCTGTGCAAAGCACAGCTTTTTTTTTTTAAAGGTCTGAAAATAGGCTTTCTGCCTGGTTACAAGTGTAGAGTCCACTTATAACACATACAGCCATGCCCATCCCCTGGCATGGGTCAGGCAATATGTGTGTGGCTCTGAGGATACAAACACACAGAGGCCTAGAGGTCGGAGGAACCGGCAATTATGCAAAACGCTGGACATTTTCCTCTCTGCTGTCACTTTGTCACTGGCCCCTTTATGTTCCTCAGCTCTATTAAAATCAGCATTGTTTTCTCTTTTTTTTCTTTTCTGTCCTTCTTGGACTTTGTAAATATGATTTTAAATTCCTATAACTGCTTCACTTAATGGCAGCAGAAATTATTGGCTTTGAGAAAGAAAGATGAGTTGGAACTTTAAATTTATATATAGTGACTATCTATAAACAGTAATGGTGATATTCTTGAATAATCCAATTTAAATGATGTATTTATTCCTTTCAGATAACAGCAGAAGAGGACCGCTAAATGATGGTAGGAAGAATGCTAGTATTTGTCCATTAAAATAAAACATTATTCAAATGCTGAGGTGCTTCACTTCTGTGTCTCATGTTCATCTCCCAAGTGAATTAAAGCAGTTATAAGGGACTTCTCTTTTATTGGATGCAGCAAATAACATGCTTAACAGATTTATTCTCTCCTGGTCATCATCATTATCATCAGCACACACTTACAGGGTACTGATCGTAGGCAGGAGATGTAGTGCTGGGAGCTTTTCATCTCTCTGGGAAGACAGGGCATATTTATCACAGAGACAGATAACAATACAGTACATTAAATGCCAAACAAATGACATTGAAAGTAAGTGGAATAGGAGTTTAAAGCAAGGAGAAGTCATCAAAAGGAGGTGGGACTTGATCTCAGCCTAGAATGAAAGGCAGGTGTCTGGCTAGAGAGGAAGTTGGGGCATTTCTAGGTAAGGGAGTATTGCAGGCATAAAGTCAGGTGCACATATGACCACAGAGTGCTTGAGGGGTAATGAGTTTCTCAAAACGAAGAGTAGGGGTTGCTGAATATGCGTTAGAATGTAGATTGAATCCGTGGACCTGGGAAATAATAACTGTTGACACATGCATATTGTCATTTGAGTTTCACAACACTCCTGTGAGGGAGACACTATTTTATGGATGAGCAAACAGAGGCATGGAGCTGCCAACTGATTGCCCAAGACAACTGACAAAAGGCAAAGCCGACCTCAAACCCAGACGGTCCAGCTCTACAGGCCACCATCTCACCCATGAGCTTGGTGGGTCTCAAACTTAAAAGTTTGTGGCACTGAGGAGTCTCTCCTGGTTTTGCTGGAGTGGGGCACCACTGAGTGTTTAATAAAGACATTATACAAGATCCCTTTTAAGCAATATCCCTATGCTATGGTGTGAATATCCCCTCCAAAACTCAGGTTGAAACTTAATCCCTAATATGGGTATATTGAGAGGTGAGCCCTTTAAGAGGTGATTGGATCATGAGGACTCTGTCCTCATGAATGGAATGATCCATTCATAGATTCATGGAATGATCCATTCATCGATTCATGGAATGATCCATTCATCGATTCATGGAATGATCCATTCATAGATTCATGGATTAATGGGTTAATGGATTAACAGGTTCTCATGGGAGTGGGACTGTCTATAAGAAGAGGAAGAGAGGCCTGAGCTGGCAGCTTAACCTCGCCATGTCATGCCCTGCACTGTCTCAGAACTGCAGAGAGTTCCCACCAGTAATAAGGCCCTCACCAGGTTTGGCCCTTTGGCCTCAGACTTCTTAGCCTCCATAACTATAAGAAATAAATTCCTTTTCTTTATAAATTACCCAGTTTCACGTATTCTGTTACAAGCAACAGAAAATAAGACACCCTATAAAGGCAGGCGGTGCTGGCTGTGGTGAAAAAGGGTGAGGGGGAGAATCTGGAAGCAGAGAGATGGATTGGGAGAGAATTTCCCAGCCAACAAGCTGAAGCCCACGGCTGTCCTACAGATGGGTGATGGGGTACCAGGAGCAAGGCTCCCCTCACACCGTGGCAGACATGAAGAAGGGGATGGCAGCTGGAGTCACTGGGCAGGTGGCCTCCAAAACATGACCTCATCCATTTACCCTGGTACCATTCAAATATAATAATTTTCTATGGACACCATGACGTAAACACTACTGGGAATTAAAAGATATTTGCCTCAGAGAGTAGTGGTGGGGAGGAAAAGGACACCATGAGTTCAATTCACAGGACTTGTTTGCCTGGGTGACCCACAAAAGCAGGGAAGAACGGAGCACTGGTGAGTGACACTGACCTTGGGAACACAAGTGTCTGATGGGCAGTGGTGGTGCTGGGGGCAGCTGGTTCTGGAGGACAGTGAGCAGAGCTTTCGATATGTGAAATGTGAGTGATGCCAGGGTGTTTAGTGGAGACTTTCTAGTAGCTTTTTCCTGATACTTTGGCGTAGACCTTACTGATGTTTTTTCCTAATGATTTCCTTTTTTTTCTAACTTTAAACTTCAAATAATAAAAACATGTTGTATTTGAAGTCTGAAAAAGCTGAATTTTCACCAGCAGTTTGAGGATAGTCTTGTAACAGTGAGACAGAACCCACCCAGCTTTGCCTTCCAAGAACACTGAGAGTTCCAGAGATGCCTGCCCTGGAGAGTACAGCCGGTGGGGAGCTTTGGGTCTGGAATCGGACACCCAGGCTGAGAAACCCCAGCCTGGCCCAACATCCTCTGAGTGTGCAAGGCACTCAACCTCCATGCACTCATGTGTTGCCATCAGTAGAAAGGAAATAATAATAGTATCTACTTCATAGAGTTGTGCAGCTCATGGGAATTAATGCATGGCACCATTCAGGATGGCTTTGGGCACAAAGTGAGCTTCATTAAATGGTGGCCATTAATACAGAATCCATTGATCAACGCCCTTGAAGACAATGAAAGTCCTCACACAGGCATGAGGGCACAGCAGTGGCAGGTGATGAAGGCACAGCAGCGGTGGGTGTGTAGCAGTGGGCATGTGAGGTAGCGAATACAGTTGAGGACCAAATCTAGTGTGGCAGTGACTCGAGGAGCAGACAATAAAAGTATGTGTGGGAATGTGTTCACCAACTTCTTGACAGTCTCTGGGTGAGAGCCCTCCTCCTGGGGAGGGACCTGAGAAGAAACCCAAGGTTCTTATCTGCCCAGTGGGAGGCTGGTCCATGTGGGTAGTGAACATCAGTGGGTCAAAAAAACCTATTGACCCTGATCCAGGAGAAATAAACTGATGAACTCCTGAAGACCAGGGGCTCCATACTTCTCTCTCTTTCATCCTCACTTTCTGATTTTACTTACTGTTTTCATCTTTCTGATTAAAGCATTTGACATGCATACAAAAGTACTGCTCAGGAGAAAAAAAAATCATCCACAATCCAACCAAACACTTTTGTGTTCACATTATTGCTTTTTTTTTTCTATCCCTATATTTTTTATGGAGCTAATATTTCACATTCAAGGCTGGATCTTGTTCATGTTTTTTTGGTTTAACATACATAAAATTTCCCCATATCATTAATCACGATTCATAAATATTTTAATAGATACATAATATTCCATAAAATGGCAACTCCCTCTTTTACTATTTTACTAAAAGTTGAACTTTCAGATTCTTTTCAATTTTTATTTTCATAGTTAACATTATGATGTTGGCCAGGCACGATGGCTCACGCCTGTAATCCCAGCACTTTGGAAGGCCGAGGCGGGCGGATCACGAGGTCAGGAGATTGAGATCATCCTGGCTAACACGGTGAAACCCCATCTCTACTAAAATTACAAAAAATTAGCCGGGCGTTGTGGCAGGCGCCTGTAGTCCCAGCTACTCGGGAGGCTGAGGCAGGAGAATGGTGTGAACCTGGAAGGCAGAGCTTGCAGTGAGCCGAGATCATGCCACTGCACTCCGGCCTGGGCGACAGAGCGAGACTCCGTCTCAAAAAACAAAACGAAACATTATGATGAACATCTTCATGATGAATCTTTGACTTTTGGCTTATTTCTTTAGGAATAATTTCAGAAGGGGAAAATACTAGGGAACATACTTTTTCCTCCATCTTTTTAAGCAACAGTGCATTTCCTAGAGAGGGAGTTTAATTTACTGTTTTTTTAAAACTCAAGCTGAATTAAGTTAGTAATAACAGTTCTAGCTCCCATGGGAAAAATCTTGATCTCCTTTTTTCTTTTTTTTTAAATTATTTTATTTTAGAGACAGGGTCTTGCTCTGTTATACAGGCTGGAGTACAGTGGCGTGATCATAGCTCACTGCAGCCTTGCACTTCTGGGCTCCAGCAACTTCTGGGCTCCAGCGATCCTCCCCCCTCAGCCTTCTAGTAGCTAGGACCACAGGTGTGCCTCACCATGCCCAGTTAATTTTAAAATTATTTTTGGTAGAGATGGAGTCTTGCTATGTTGCCCAGGCTAGTCTTGAACTACTGGCCTCAAGCAATCATCCTGCCTCAGCCTTTTGAGCAGCTGAGACCACAAGTGTGCACCTTCATGCCCAGTTAATTTTTAAATTATTTTTGGTAGAAATGGTGTCTTGCTATGTCGCCTAGGCTAATCTTGAACTACTGGTCTCAAGCAATCCTCCTGCCTCAGCCTTCCATAGTGCTGGGATTACAGGCATGAGCCACAGTGCCCAGCCAAAATTCTTGCTCTTTAAGATGCCATAACAGTGGAATAATCACTGAAGGGCAGGAAACAATGGGCAGTGGGAGAGAGAGTCTCCATATTTTCGGCTCCAATGGGAAGTGAGTTAGAGAGATTTGTTCCTGCATGCTCTTAAAATATTTTTATTCATTAAAAAAGTGATCTTAGGGCTGACGCAGTGGTTCACACCAGTAATCCCAGCACTTTGGGAGGCCAAGGCAGGTGGATCACGAGGTCAAGAGATTGAGATTGTCTTGGCCAACATGTGAAACCCTGTCTCTACTAAAAATACAAAAATTAGCCAGGCGTGGTGGTGCAGGCCTGTAATCACAGCTACTCAGGAGGTTAAGGCAGGAGAATTGCTTGAACTCGAGGGGCGGAGGTTGCAGTGAGCCGAGATTGCGCCACTGCACTCCAGCCTGGTGATGGAGCGAGACTCCATCTCCAAAAAAAAAAAAAAAAAAAAAAAAGAGTGATCTTAGAATTCTAAGGTATATGAGTTCATTTTCAGAGAGGAAGTGGACTTCTCAAGTTCAGCAAGTTTGTACACTCCAGGGCTTCTTAGATGTCTCTCAGAGGTCACTGCTGAAGGGTCACAAGCCCATTTGCATATTCTCCTCAGGATGCCAATTTTAGGTGCACTCAGATCCTCTCTGGCTTAATGTGTGTTTGACGACCAAGATGGCCCAGGATATTACAAGTAAAAATACACCCCTGGGCCGGGCATGGTGGCTCATGCCTGTCATCCCAGCACTTTGGCCAAGGCAGGAGGATCGCTTGAGTCCAGGAGTTCAAGACCAGGCCTGGCAACATCGTGAGACCCCCAACTCTACAAATAATTAAAAAAATTAGCTGGGAGTGGTGGTATGTGCCTGTGATCCCGGCTACTTGGGAGGCTGAGGTGGGAGGATCGCTTGAGCCTGAGAGGTTAGGGCTGAAGTGAGCTGTGATCCTGCTACTGTACTCAAGCCTGGGCAACAAAGCAAGACCCTGTTTCAAAAAAAATTAAAATAAACTCCTGCTTTAAGCAACCTTTATGACAGGGATACACTTTGTGAATTTAAAGTTCTGAGAGGATTGGGAATGAAGACATTTCTGATTTTCTACTCCTATTGAAAGTTCAGATGTTCTGTAACAACCTACTGGTATACTATCATAAATCAGGATAAAATTAATTTATGTAAAATTAATTTTACTCATTCAAAGCCCATCTCTGTTTAGCACATTTAGTGAATGTATTTATGTTTTATTAGTCTTTCTTATTAGTCTTTTTTTTCTTTTGAGACAGGGTCTCACTCTGTTGCCCAGCCTGGAGTGCAGTGGCACGATCATGGCTCACTATAAGCCTTGACATCTTGGGCTCAAGTGATCCTCCCATCTTGGCCTCCTGAGTAGCTGGGACTACAGGCATGTGCCATCACACCCAGCTAATTTTTGTATTTTTTGTAGAGATGGGGTTTCGCCATATTGGCCAGGCTGGTCTCAAATTCTTGAGCTCAAGTGATCCGCCCACCTTGGCCTCCCAAAGTGCTGGGATTACAGGCGTGAGCCACAGTGTCCAGCCAAATGTGTTTATTTAGTAGGGAGAAAAAATAATCATTACACATGCAAACATATCTCTTATTCATGCAACAGCATTCTTGTAAAGAACGCAACATGCCTCACCAACATTATTACTCTAACACCTTGCTCTAACACACCCAGCTGGCAAGTTGTTTTCCTGATATTCATGGAGAGAAATGGGGTTCAAAGAAGTTATGTGACTTGCTTAAAAAAGCCTATGGGGAATAAATAACAAACCAAGAACAATCTATAGACTCTTGCTAGAACATTCTGTCTGCCCAAATGTTAAATGGCAGAGGCTGGGTATCCTTGTCCTTACCAGTGGGTTTGACGAGGACTGCCAAGAAGTCTGTGGTGAAGGAGCTGATGTAGAGGAGAATGCAGGGCGCCTTGGTGGTGCTGAAGCTGAAGCGGATCTCCTCCTGTGCCAGGTCCGGGTGGGAGTTCTGCTGGTCGGGAGCGTTGTCTACTCTGCTGCTGGAGTCTCTGGCATTTGTTGCTGGTGCCTGAAAGTTATATCGTAGCCACATCCCTTCTTCAAAAAATGCACCAACATCTGTTATAAAGGAGAGAGAGAATTGAAAAATGAGGAGAGGTCTGATGCCGATACCCTACAATGACCTCTCCAGCAGTTCATGGAGTGCAGGCACTGGCTCCAGGAAGGGCATCTGAGTAAGTTCTATGGAGAAAGATGCTATTGCATCAACACAAATACTCTTATCAAAAAAAAAAAAAGCATGTAACAGGGTATGATGTATTAGTCTGTTCCCACGCTGCTAATAAAGACATACCAGAGACTGGGTGATTTATAAAGAGAAAGAAGTTTAGTGGACTCACAGCTCCATATGGCTGGGGAGGCCTCACAATAATGGTGGAAGGCAAAGGAGGAGCAAAGTCATGTCTTACATGGCGGCAGGCAAGAGAGAGCACATGTGCAGGGGAACTCCCATTTATAAAACCATCAGCTCTTGTGAGACTTATTCATTATCATAAGAACAGCACAAGAAAGACCTCCTCCTGTGATTAAATTACTTCCAACCAGGTCCCTTCCACAACATGAGGGGATTATGGGAACTACAATTTGAAATTAGGGTGGGGACAGAGCCAAACCATATCATATAGAAATCTATAAAATTAAAAAAATAGTAAAATTTAAGAAACTTACATTATACCAGAAAAAAATTTCACATACCAAGAAAAAAATTCACATACCCTGAAAAAAATTTCATGTACTCAGACCAAGGAACGAATTGTCAGGTTGAAGAGATATGCCAAAAATAAATCCCTGGTACAGGGAACCCATAGGGGCATCCTCTTTGAGACTGAATTTGCTTGGATATTCATACAGGAAAGCCTTTATAAGCCCTACGTCCTTAGAGACTTTGTGTATAGGGTTTACAATCACATGTCTTGAAGTTAGAGAGAACTGGGTTCAAATTTGGCTCTGCCACTAAATAGCTGTGTGACCTTAGGAGAAGTTACTTAACACATTTTTCTAGGCCTTGGTATTTCATCTATGAAGTGGAGAGTAATTAGTACTCCATAAATAGTATCTATTTTTATTATTATTGAGAAATTAGAAGAAAGAAACCCTTCCTGCATCAGCCTTTTCCTAGAGCCTGAGCAGTGCTTACTGGATATTAGGCACTTCATGGCCAGCAAGCTCCTGTTGCCGGTCTCCCTGCTGTTTGCTCAGCAATGTTCTAAATCACTCCGACTCACTGTG
Source organism: Homo sapiens (assembly GCF_000001405.40). Classification (NCBI taxonomy): domain Eukaryota; kingdom Metazoa; phylum Chordata; class Mammalia; order Primates; family Hominidae; genus Homo; species Homo sapiens. The sequence continues at coordinate 1,244 of NT_187564.1, read as the reverse complement.
AAGGGCTGTGCCACCTTAGGGATCCTGTGGTCTTCACGGTTTCTGTTTCACGGCCTTCTACAAGGGCCTTGCTGAAAGCATTTCCCACACTCCATCGCCCATGCAACCGTTAATCTCACAACACTTGACATCCCACTAAATTAACACTATGCAGAATATATTGTGCAAAACTGCTCTACGTTATAATTAATGGGAGAGGACAGTTTTTAATAGGAGTCTTCCAACTGGGAATTTTGATGTTTGTTCTTGTTAAAGAGGTCGGCACAGAGCAGCGAAGTCCGACGCCTGGGGGTGTATCTTGCCCTTGTCTGTAGCAGCCGTGTTAACTTGGGTCAATGTCTTGAAACTTTCTCAGCCTCAATTTCGTCCCTAAAAAATGGGACCTCATAGGTGGTTGTGAGGATTAAGTAAACTATATAATACACAGCTTAGTGCCCGGAATATATAAGTGCTCAGGAAAGATTAGTGAACTATTATTACAAAGACAGGTTACCGTTGTATATTGAGGGTGACATGTCCTGGCCCCCACCTCACATCACCACACACATGTGTGAAAGTTGTCAGAATCAAAATGAAGTCACTAATGTTAAAAAAAAAAAAAAAAGAAAGCCCTGAGAAATGGAGCTGGGGAAGGCCATGAATAAATGCCTGATCAAAAGAACTATCACAGAGACTCTGCAAAAAGCACAACATTGCCCAAACACCATTGCAACCTTACACAAAAAAACGGTTCTACAAGAACAACTGCCCTGAATTTGCCTGTCCAAACTTGGACTGGTGTCACCCTTGTTATTGATCTTTGTAGCCAAGGATAATTATTTTAAAACAATTATGTAATCCTCCTCCTTTTTTCCTTTAAAAACTTTTGTCTTCACCTCCCTGAATATGCATGTAGTTAACTATGGCATGCATATTCCCATTGCAATGCTTTATTTCCAGATAAATATCTTATATTTCAGAGATCCTCTTTCTGTTAATTATGTTGACACATATAATCCACCATGGCACTGTTACGGAGTCCATTGCTTCTCACCAAGTTGTAAGGAAAAGACTTAACTATAGCTTTTCAACTATGTGCAGTGCAATTTTCCTCCTGGTCCTCTTACCCCCAAAACTTTTGTAACTGTGTGTGTAGGTGGGGTAGTTGTCAAAATGATTGGGATACCAATGAAATTTAGTGGGCACGGGCAAGGACAGCAGCATGTCCTGCAATGTGTGGGGCTGTCTTATGCAATTAAGAATTC